>NC_000001.11:208790647-208942162 GCF_000001405.40 Homo sapiens | reverse complement strand
TCTCTGGGAGATGGGGTCAACATATCTCCAAAGTTTCCCAGATGATTTTAATGTCAGTCAGAGTTGAGAATAATCCATTGATTTTCATAAATATATACTCATCATTTATTATATGCTAGACATTCTTCTAGAAGCTGGAAATGTAGCAGTGAACAAATCAGACAAAAATCCCTGCCTTCACAGCGCAAATATGCTAGTGGATTTTGACTGACAACACAAGATTAATAAATAAATAGCATTCATGGTATATAAGAATTAATGATTAGTGCTAAGGAGAAAAATCAAGGAAGGAGGATATCACTTTTATGATGGGGGAGGTATGGCAATATTACGAGGCATCAGGGGAGGACTCATGAGAAGGTGATGTTTGCATGAAGATCTGAGAGAGGTGGGGAAAATGTCTCCAGGCAGAGGGAACAGCAAATGCTAGGTCTTGAGGTAGGAGCATATTGATCCCAAGAAAAGCCGGGGGGCTAACATAGAGTATACATACACTGTTGGTCTAAACTACCAAAATCCACACTCTAGGTAGAAGATGAACTATTTGTAGAAATAAACTAAAAGACTGTGTGTAAATGTGTGACTAAAGAATTTGAGAATACTTTGAACCAAACCCAGCATAATCTGCTGCAACGTTAAGGATGCAGGCATGGACATGATAGTAATTTGGTAAACATATAGAATAAATTCCAGTTTGGCCCGTTTGATGAAAGGAGGTAGGAAGAGAAGGTAGATCAATCTAGAGCACAAAATAAGTAAGGCAGGGGAAGCAAGAGTGAGAGCAGTCCTCTGTGCGTGGATAGGAGCTGAAGTAGGGTGGAGGGATGTCCATGGGTTGTGGCAGGTCACGACAGGCACGCATTAAACCCTGGAATACGTAACTGACAATCATCCTTCTCATTCAGTGTTCTCCAAGCTAACTAAAAAAGAAAAGCCTTCTAATATGTCTAGCTTACAGGGAAAGGCAGTGTTGATCAGCCAAGGTGAATGTGTAGCCCACATGTATCTTATTTCTTATGATAAGACATTACAATTGGGATTCTAGATATTGGTCTAAGTGACCTTTGTATAAGCCAGTATCCCTGAGTCAGATCATTCCAGAGTTAAATACTGAGAAGGTAAGGCCTCTGAACCTGTGAATTTTGGACAGTAAAGTTTGGGCAATGCAAATGTCCCTTTGTGTGGCCTCTTAAGCTCTTGGCCTATTTCTCTAAGAGCTGACTTTGTATTGCCATGTGACATTCACCTTTTACATCAAACAACACTCCATTCAGTCCCTATCTTGCTTGGCAGCTGTTTTTTCACAGTACAAATGATAACAATACCTAACAGCTTATCTGTCTCTTACAGGTAGTGTGAAAATCAGATTTGATAACATATGTGAAGGTTATTTTAAATGCTAAAATGATGTGTAAAATATAGCATTATTTTTATTAATAATGATAAGACTATAGGTAAATGGAGAGTCAGAAATCTGTTAAAGCCATGTTGTCTTTACCATATACAGCTTGGAGTCAATGTTTCTTGTAGGTAAGCATAATTTTATTTTAAAAATATGTGTCTAGATACTAGACACATATTTAAAAAGTCTGGAAAGTTAATATGTCAAAAGAAAGCTATTGGTTATAGTTTGATGATAAGATTTTATTCTTTTATTTACATAAATGCAGTTATTTTTATTGTTCTTTTCATGCAAGATATAGATACTAATATCTGTTTATTCTAAATATTCAGTAGCACATATTATGAACATAAAACAATGAAAGTTACTTTTCAAAGAACAACCTCATCTGAGGCTTTGTATGTAATAGTTGAATAAATGGAGTGTTTCAGCTGACATTACTGGTAGTGAGCTGGGGGATCAGGGCTGTAAATCAGAGTTTTCAGATGTCGGTCAAGAAAAGCCACATCCAAGAATCCTGAAGAGTCAGGCCCATGTGGCCTGGCCTGGCCTGTCCTTCTGAATGCACTCTTGAACTGAGTAAACCATGGGGCCATTTCAGAGGCTAAGCTCCTGTCTGTCAGAACTCAGAGGTTTCAAAGAGACCTTTTGTGTTTTTTTCTTTTCTTTTGCAAATATCAACCCATCTTCCAAATATAAAAAGAAAAGATGGAATTAAAAATGAGATAGGTAATGTGTCCTCAGACTAGAAAATTAGTCAGATGGTAAAGTCTTCTTGAATTTAGCTAAGGAATAATTGACAGAGGAACTTGGCTGAGCCAAATAAAACTGGGCACGGGAACTTCTCTTGATATGACAAAGACCAGATGCAAAGGCAGACTGAGATAATGAGAGAAAAGGAAGAGAATTGATTGAGGCCATTCATCTGTCTCCAAGAACAGCCCCTAAGTCAGTTACTAGAGCCATCTGTGTTAAAGTCCACCAGCCAATGAGCACCAGGAACACTCCTGCAGTCAAAGTTCAATTTGACTGTAGAAAGGTAGAACACACACTGTTGGTAAACTGTGGAGAATCTCAAAAGGAAGAAGTTAGGGAAACATTCCTACAGATTTTCAAGGGACTAGAGTTAATCATATCATGGTCTTGGCAGGGATTAGTTAGAACTCATAAAAGATGGAGTTGCTTGCTGAGTGGTCTAATCTTTAGAACATCTGAGTATATGCAGAGTTACTGTAAGGTCAGCTTTTCTGTAGTCATATACAATGTCTGGGTCACAATAGGCTGATGTTAAAAAACAGAGTTTGAGTTTATATAGTTTTCTTCCATATTTATGATTTGGGGCAGTTGATCTGTTTTATGAATTATAGGATAGTTCTGCAAATTGTGGCTTCTGTTTCAATTCTGTTGGGTAAACATATTTCATGGAAAAAACAGGAGTTAGGTACTGGAACATCCAGTATTTGCTAAGGGATAATACTTGTAAGTATTGTACATATCCTTCTCTTCATGCATTTTACTCTTCTTCCAATGGTCTTTATTAAACAAACTCTTTTCCATGAGGAGCAATCAATAAGCTCTAGAAAATGTTTCCAGGTGTTGAAGTAGGGTTCTCTTCTCATTTATTTGTTTTTTATAGAAGTCAGATGCTGAACAAACCTCCCCACTTTTTGTCATCCACACAACCAGCTACATACTAATTGGACTTTGTCCCTGTTTCCCATTGACGCTAAGAAGCATAATATAGCCCGCCATCTTCCAGATGCCTGGTGGAGACTCTTTACCAAATTGTCCTAAGATTTCCTGGTCCGAGTCCATTTTTACTTCCAGGAGACATGCTCTTTATGAAAAAAATCACTGTATCTTTCATCATCAGCAGCATGCCATTCTTCTATTAAATATTTTACCCCTTAGACGAGAAAGCATGACCCATGAAATTGACCCTGTGTATATTTTTGCTTGCCTTTTCCAGAGTTGGCATGGGGTGTGTCAGGGTTTGAGCTATGCCATATTCCTCCAGGCTGTCCATTTCATGCAAAACGTGAAGATACAATTGGTGTTTCTGCAGCTGTCTCTTAGATCTTTCTTTAGCCTAAGAAACACCCCAGGGACATAAAGGGTAATGTAAAAACTCATTTTGGTCTGGGTAAATAGATAAAAAAATAAGAACTTGCCCTAAGGCTCAGACTGGAACCAAAATTAGGGGCTAGAACACATATTGACTCTCCGATTCCCATTTTCTTTTTAGGCCTCCCAATTTGGGTGTCATACTCTACCTCTTCCTTTTCTCTCTTCAATACAATCAATGGGAATCATCCTACAGTAAGAAATCATTACAGAGCCACAAATGGGAACTTTTTGCAAATCCTAGTAAGTCACCCACAAATGGGAACTGAGGATGAGATGAAGGAGGAGGGAGAAAGCCTAAACATGGCTATGGCCATTGGCCTTTTGGGTAAGTTGTCTTTCCTGACCTCAGCAGACTTTTCTTGAGTTATATCCCTTGCAACATATTCATTCACTATGGAAAGTTGGCAAGTTGCAAGTGGAAATGCATTCCTCATTAGATTTCTTCTCCTTTTTTTTCATAATTCTTTCTGGGGAAAAATAAATCCCTTGAAGTCCCTTTCATGTTGGTGGTTGCTTAAGTGTAGAAAATAAAATTAGGAGAAATGAAAGGAAACACCCCAGCAGCAACCCATATTCTTGATTTTGAACATGCTCAGAGCAGGCCAAAGTGCCCAGAGAAATCACAGTGCCATCAGATTGCTGGGCTAAGAGCACAAGGATTGGGTGATTTGGAAAATAAGTTTGAACTCAAAACTTACATTTACTTTCTTCAAACAGCAGCTCCCCAGAGTCACATTACATTGGACATGAATGGAAGGAACCTATATCTTGTACAAGCAGAACAGGTTGATGCTAAAACATCATCCTGGCATTTAAGAATTGGCTTTTTTAGAATAGGATTTCTCCCATGGCTCTGATAGGATTTACAAGACTAAACCACGACTTCCTCTGATACTAGCAGCAACCTGGTGTGCAGAGCAATTGAGGGGGGTCTCTGGAGAAAGGAAATCAAACTGCCGGGCAAACAAGTCATGGACTTGGCTCACCAAAGCCAATCACAGATACCAGCTTCATAGGATCGGGTGAAATACTGTTTCTCAGTTCAAGTAATGGGTGGTGATTTGTGCCTTTTTACCTCCTAGGTGGATTTATTGAAGACAGTTTTGAACATGACATGAATTTAGGGCTCTCTCAGTGCTTAGACATGTTGCTCCTGCCTGGGATGCCCCTTTTCCCATATCTGTTAAACAAATTCCTCCTGCTCAAACATCACTTTCTCTGTCAAGCACATTAAGCCCTCCTCAAAGGTCTGCCTTTCTTTGGCTAAATGGACTGTGTGCTTCTTCAGAGATGTTGTTTTAGGCCTCTTTATAACGTAGTCCTAACACAATGCCTGGCTCATAGGTGCTTTACAAGATTGACTGCATCTCTGTTTCTCTCTGAAATATTTCCAGTTTGCCATCTGAAAAGTAATCCTGCGAAAGAGATTTCATATAAAGCCCATTCTGCCCTAACTCTTAAGCAACAACTGGGAAGTCTTCCTTCATAGAAGTTCAAGTTTGGAAATTTCACCTTGCACTTTACCCTTCTAAAGCTATTTGTTGGAGAAAGGACTACTTCAAGTCATTCTTTAAAGAAAAGATGTGGGACTGGGCTCGATGATCTCTCATTGACCTCTTCGCCCTCAGCATGCCCAGCTCTTAAAAGGAAACTGTGATGTAGGTAAGAGGATACTTGAGTTGGAAACCTGAGGCCTGAAATCCTCTGCCCAGATTTGCCATTAATTAACTGAGTTATTTGGATAAGTTGCTCCTTCTCTGGGGCTCGGGTTCATCATCTATGCCTGAGAAGCTTGAATTCAATGATGTCCAAATACTACTTCCAACTCCAACAATAGTCTTACAATGTTAGGAGTCTCCATGTCTATGAAACACCAGAGTTAACAATCCAATTAATGCCTGTTCTTAGCAGACGAATTCCCCACCCCCTATTGTTTAGGAATTTTTCATCATTAAAATAATTGAGTGGGAGTGGGAGGTTGTTTGTATTCTTTTGACCTTTCTGCTCTCCTCTGCTATAATGAAACTCTGCACTGCCATTTGGTGACTAGGCTTCTGAGGAGTTCTCTCACGTGCAGTGGAAACAAAGATGTAGAGTGGAAAGGGCACTGGAATAGAAGTCAGGCAATCTAAGGTCGTGCCCAGCTCTTGACACTAACTAGCTCTGTGGCCCTGGGCTTGTCATGTCCCCTCTTGGGGTCTCCATTTCCTCACCTGTTAATTGGGTTGTCTGAACCAGATGATCTTTATAGTTCTTCAACTCTTCTTGCATTCTATGAATTCTAACAATGACATCTCTCTCTAGAGAGTGAGGGCTGAATGGAGACCTTGTGTCACACTACTCCAAATGCCACACAATTAATTATGGAATTCCAGCAATCAACTCCCTCCCCCCGCTGTCTACCCCCTGCCTGCCTGCATTAATGGCATTTTCAGAGACTTCTGTCTAGAAGAAAACGTCGGTCCCAGACTAATTGGCATCTTTCCATCAATGTCAAAGGGAGCCCAAAGGGTCTCTTTGCTTAGAACTCTCTTGATTCTCCTGTGTGAGGTGGGGATGGGGTGTGCCTTCAGCTTCTGACCCTCCTCTGATATCTATCAGTCTATCCTGACTGTATTCTCTGTGGTTTCTGTGTCATCAGGATGTGTGCTCATTTGAGAAATCTCATAAAAGAGAATGGCTTTCTATGCTGTGTGATATTTGTGAATGTACTAGGCCAGCTTGAAACCATCTGCTAAGAAAGATTAAAATTCAAGAAGGAAAACAAAAGAAGGTACTCTTTCCTATTTGTCCCCATATTATGTATGGTTTAAGAGCACACATTCTGGAGGACAACTGCCTTGCTTTGAATCTTTATTTGCTACTGAGTCAGCCACATGGCAGATAGAAATCTGCTTTCTCTGGATCTGTTTCCTTATCTGTAAAATGGGGCTCGTAAATAAAAGTACCAACCTCATTTAATTTTCATTTAAGATTAAGTGAAATGATGCATGTTAATTGGTGCAGTGTTTAACACATGATGGTCTTTAATATCACAATTATGATATTTAACATTATTTTTGGCCAACCAACATTTGCAATGTCTCCTTTCAACTGATCAACTAGTCATTTTTGTTTTTTATTTGAGATGGAGTCTCACTCTGTAGCCTAGGCTAGAGTGCAGTGGTAGGATCTTGGCTCACTGCAACTTCTGCCTCCTGGTCCTGGTTCAAGCAATTCTTCTGTCTCAGCCTCCCAAGTAGCTGGGATTACAGGCACGCGCCACCATGTCCAGCTAATTTTTGTATTTTTTGTAGAGATGGGGTTTCACCATGTTGGCCAGGCTGGCCTTGAACTCCTGACCTTGTGATCTGCCTGCCCCAGCTTGACAAAATGCTGGGATTACAGGCGTGAGCCACCGCTCCCGGCCCAACCCAGTCATTTTTTAGCAGCTCCGCAGCAGTTCATTTCTACCCCACCCACTTAGTCATGACTTCTATAAGATCCTACTGTTCTTGAATGATTATTTAGCAAAGTGCTTTTCTATTGGGGAAATCTTCTCAACACTTACTCACCACTCTGGGATGCCCTAACTCTTGACCTGAGCAACCGAGGAGCTCAGAGCTACCTTTGCAACAGAAAAGACACTTAACTTCCGAAGAGTACTGCATTAATCATTACTTCTGATGTGCCCTCAGTAAGCATGAGGTCCATAATCTATCTATCCACAATCAAGGCATCTTTTCCTCTCAAAAGAGGGAGAAACATCCCTCATTTTTACAACTTGCTGAATTGAGGTCTAGTCTTGTGATAATCGCTCAGTTACAAGTTCCGTTTTCTTCACTGCTTATTCCCTTCCTTTAACACCAACAGCTGGGACTATACAGCATCAGAAAAAAGAATTAAAACTTTCTCATGGGGAGGGGAAAGTAGAAGCAATTCGCTTAATGTGTTTTATCGATTGTACAGCACATTTACTCTATGGGTTCAAGACACTATGTATCCGTTCTCTTGAAGGCAAGTCCAAATCACTTATGGCATCTTTATGGAAATTCAAAATTGAATGGAAATATGACTATGAGGCCATCAGCTAAAAAGCACTGGCTCCTCATGAGGGATTCTGCTTTGTTTCCCTCTCTTTCTCTCATCTGTATCATCTTTCATGGCAGTGTCCTTGAAGACATCTCCCTTGGGCCTTCTCTACAACAGCTCTTGGAAGGCCAGCTTTGGTAAGAAGCAGTAAAAATGTCCAGATTGTAGAACTAAATTTAACAAGATACCTGATATTGGGAATGCATAACCATGAATAAGCAAGCAATCATTTATAAAACCAATTGTACTGCGTATAAAAGTTGCCTGTATTTGTAAAAATCAAAACATGTGTTTAACAGTACTCAAATTATGTAAACAGTCTGTGTCTGGTTCCCATTAAAGGTACAGAATAAGCATTAGGGCAGCAACTTGAAAGCCAGGCTGAACAATTTTGCCGGTTATCTGTGAATGGTATCTGGAGGAAAAATGCAAATTATAGTCAAGGTGAGGAGAGCCAAGTTGTATCAAGAAATTTGGAACCGGGCATCATTTCTGAGGACACATATGAAGCCAGAAATTAGAAGGATGGGAATGGAATGGGATGTGGTTGGAGCAAGTGGCTCAAACCTGAGGTTGTACACCACGGTGGGATGACAAAGGTGCACTTTCATGCAATTCAGTCACATGCGTGCTGTGGGAGTACCTCTTAACATGAACTCTACACTCTCTTATTCCAGAAAAGAATACTCATGAGTGTATTAATGGTGACTATAGACACTTTTAGGAATTAATTTTTTGGGAGCCAAGAACGGACCTAGAGGGACTAGAATAAGAGGGGGAGGGGCAGATGATGGAGGTCTTGAGAGATTATCACTTTATAAAAACTAATTCTGTTTTCCTGCCTATTCCTAATACTGTGCTGTAAGACTAGCAGCTGGGCCCATGCTGCATGCAGCTGAGAAATTAAGACTTTCTCATAGGAGGAAGAAAACTAAAAGCAATTCATTTAATGCATTTTATTGATTATATGGCTCATATACTTCTTGAGTTCAAGATAGCACCTGTCTATTCTCCTGACGGCAAGTTCAGATCATCCTTGGCATCTTTATAGTATCTTTCTCTTCTGCAGCAGAGAGTAAAGGAAAGGATGGGGAGATAGAGAATATATGTGCGTGTGTGCATGAGTGTGTGTGCGTGTGTAAGGGGAGAGTGGGAAAGACAGAGAAAGAGAAAGAGAGACAGTGAAGGAAGGAAGAAGACTAGGAGAAAAAATACTTAGGAACGGAAAAGAATTAGTACTTTAAGGGAAATGCTAGATCTTGAAAAGTAGAGATTACTAGTGTAATGCAGTCTTTAGGAAAGACGTTCTGGAGATTTCAGGAATTTCAGGATATAGCATAAAGAATAATAATCCTTTGAAAAGTTTTGGATATCTTGGTGCCTGAAGCAAAAAAAAAAAAAAAAAAAAAAAAACAACAAAAAAAAACAGCTTCTGAAGGGTCTTATTTTAAGCACAAAAAAAGAATGCTGTGAAAAGAGGTTGTGGCTAGCTTATGGGTGACCAGCAGCCCAAAGAAGACAAAATAGACTTTTTAGGCTGGGAAGGAACTGAATGCTTTACGTGCAGCATAGACTGGAAACCTGCTGAATTTAGCAAAGCTTGGACTCTAGACTCTTCATGCTGTAGAAGAGAAACTCCTTGTCCTACACAGGACGGATTTAGAGGGGGATTTGCATTTCCTTCAGTAGGGGAGGGGAACACTGAAAAGAATTAAAAGGAGAGGGGATGGGCTCCTTGTGGTGTTGGTAGGCTTGGTCTGCACAGAAGGCAAAGATTGTTTTGCTCCTAGGGGACCCTGGATTTGAGACTCTGAGTCTCCCTCAAAGGCAGAAGTTGGTTTCACTGCCCAATGTGGAGAGCTTCATTTTCTATTCTCTGTATTTCAACTATTGGTAATTTACAGGGGCAACAACTTAGATCCTTCTTGCCCAGAAGTCTCTGGGTACCTAAAACCAATTACAACTCTTCACTCCCGTTATAGATTTAAAAATGTATCTTGGATAATGTCAAACAGCATCGAGAAAAGCCTTTGGGGCTCAAATAAAGTGGCAGTGACCTCTTTACCCTCAATTTTCCCCGGATGTCAGGACACCCTTCACAGGGTGAAGGAGTGTATAAATTTAATCTGGTTGTTCACAGCAGGGCCAAATGGAGGAACCCATTGCTTGTCACTCTGGGCAGTGACAGGCTCACAGCCCTCTCAGTGATGGGTGATGAAGCACAAACTGCCATTAGATATGTCCATGTCACCTGAGGAAGAAGAAAAGGGGATGGAGGAACCCTCACAGAACTACCTTTGTCAGGATGGTTTGCACAGGCCTTGTGAAGGAATGAGCTCTTTCTGAGTCAGTAAAGAAAATCTGCTCCTGAGGCAGTTGATGGATTCCTATCCAATCACCTTTTTAGGAATGTTGGAAACTGGTAGCTCTGATTCTACTGTGTCTCTCTCTCTCTGTAGATCTCACAACACATGTTTGCCTATAGAGAGGCTGCCGTGTTTTCTTTTTATCCAAAGCACAGTCTGCAAACCAGCAGCCTCCATATCACCTGGGGACTTGTTAGAAATGCAGAATATCAGGCCCCACCTTGGACCTCGAGTATCACAGTCCGTATTTTCACAAGATTTTCAGACGATTTGTATGCCCGTTAGTCACTGTTGTATATAATTCTCTAAATATGCAGTTTTACAGGAGAAAAAATCTGTAGATGTTGCTGATATCACTTACAAAAACAGCAGCAACTTTGCTTTATATATTTTCAAATATAAACTTTTTCAGTCAGTTCAGCTGAACGGTATTACCTAAGAGAAGAACATCAACTCCCTCTGCCTCCCAGTTGTAGTTTCCCAGGGAAACCAAACATAAATCGAATAGAAAGGAAATGCAAGGAACATTCAATTTCTTTTACACTTGACACCTGATTCCTTCCAGATTCAGTGTCAGTGTTATTTCCACGGCTCAATTGACTTGTTTGAGCATAAGAATGTGTATGCATGTGTGTGTGTGCTGCCCACATAAACCTAATCATTCTACCCAGTATTAGGTGATTTTTTGATATGGTAACATGCTTCATCTCTCTGTAGCATCCCCTTCCTTTCAGTTCTTGAAAAAATGATGGTGCTGTTTGCCACAGGCACATGCTCTGTGAAAAGACAGAGGAAATTCTAATGAGTTAGAAGAAGAGAGCCAAACTGTCTAGTTAAAGTTGCCTTAATCCCTCTGTGCTCATTACCACCTGTTTCTGCCTATTGTCACCAACCCTTCTGCAGCCATCCCTGCCCTACTCCCTGTCTGACCACCTATGCCAAGGGAGGATTTTGAAATGCCAAGAGGCAGAGACAAGTGCATTGCCCTATCCTCTTTCTTTGTCCACAAGAAGCTGGTGCAGCAGGGAGCAGGGCCCATGGGCAGATCTGGTAAAAAGGCATTGCAGAATCCAGAGTCTCACAAGCACAGGAGAAAAACACAAAGCTGAGGAGTTCATCTGGAGTTAAACGTGTGTGCTCCTTTCCCTTTTTTCTGCCTTGCTGATCTCCTACCTGCTTAGCAATCAAGATCCCACGTGTGGAATAGTCGCTTCATTTCTTCCTCTAGTCACATTCTACCCATGATCAAAGCCCTGTCTGAGATTCATTGCGTGTATTCATTCAAATATTAACTGAGCTCCAGTGGGGTGCTAGCTGCTGTCTTAGTTCTTCCAAATATAGAGACAAATAAGACAGAATCCTGACCATTTTCATCTCATTGTAGAATAATGAAATGAGTGTGGGCTTTATGACCAAAGTGGGCTGGATGTGAATTTCAACTTTGACGTTTTCTGGTGGTTTTGAAGATACACAGGCAAGTTTCTTGAACTCTACAAGCCTCATTGTTTGTGGGCAATAATTCTTCTCTTAAAACTGAGATTATAAACACCTTTAATGTAATGACCAGGACACAGGCTTCTTATGTCTTACATCTAATCAGGAGTTAAATGTAAATATTGCTACTTTATAAATACTGACTAAACTTAATTGAATTTTGAATATAATTTAAAAATCAATATCCTATAGAAAAACGTGAGTCCTAGTTGTCTTACCAAGTACCTGCAAGTCCTTGGAGAAATCACTTAACTTAGGAATTTTTTTTACACATAAGAAGGAGAAATTGGGAAATTTAAAAGATGCATTCTGGAAGTCTAACATGATTTTCCTGTAGGATTCCAAACTTCTGCAAAATGCTATGCTACTGTTCTACAACAAGTGCTGTATTCATAACTTACAAAGATGTGCTTAGACATGTGTAAGTATGTGTATATACATATATGTATACGTGTGTCGATAATAGATGTATTATTTTCAGTCATTTTCTGTATGAAGTTGTAAGTTCCTAAAATATTTCAGTAAATTAAAGACACAATATGTGTTAGAGTGAAGAAGCCTTTCAATCTGTTTACTGCAGAATTTTCCAAGCTATTTTATCCCCTCCCTTTTTATAGATAATGTCTATTAACATCTCCAACTGATATCTCCTTGACTAGTGCCTATTCCTTGTTTGACTCTGGGGATGGCTCCTAATTGATGATTATGGAGATTCACAGAAAGAAAACACTGTTTTCTCAGCATATTGAAATTATAGTTGCAGTAAACCATTGGCTTTCTATATTTTTAAATCTCAGTTTTGACTGCTTGTAAATGATCTCCAAATTCCATGTTGTGTAGTAATTTTTAATTTTGGCTCAACCCCCATTGTGTATCATGTAAAATGATTAATGAGCAGGATGGAGTCACTACGGCTAATGGCCAAGCCCAGCTGACTCATGTGGATCGTTTAGATGTGCTGTTTTGCACTCACTGTCACGACCAACAACTCCCAATATTGGCATATTTGCTACACTGTGGATTCATGATGATCTTCTACCACAGTCCTCAAGAACATCAGGAGTTAAATTACATACTGCTGCCTTTGGATGAAGGCTCCTATATTAGGCCACTGATTCCCCCACTAAAGGTAGATCATCACTCTTCTCCTCAAGTCATTGGTACTTTGTTAAGAGAAATCTGGCAGGTAATCGACAGACCCTTGCAATCTCATTGATAAGTTTCCAGCTCTCCTAAAATGTGAGACTTACCAGTGAAATATGCAGTGGTTTTTGAAATCCTGATATTGGTCAGCAAAGTCTAACACTTTTCCTTTTAGAAATGACCTAGCCATAGGAAGCTGTGCCACCTGTATTTCTAATGCCAAAACTCGTACTGGCATCTCTCTCAAGGTAAGTATCTTACAGTGCAATGGAATTGTTTCTGAAGGGCTACTGATCTCAGGCCTGAATTTTGAGGAAAAAAAAATTAAAGGCAGTTTTTGGAAACAAAGCCTATTTCAGAGACTGGAATGAGACTATCGGTTTACAACTCCAACTGGTATCTCCTCAACTAATCCCTGTTCTCCGTTTGACCCTGGGGATGGTTCCTAGTTGATGATTGTGGAGATTCACCAAAAGAAAACACTGTTTCTCAATTTAAATGATATGAGCCTGGTTGGGGGCAAAGACTGTTTATTGGCCTCCACTGTTCAGCAACTAATGAAATTAATTTTTTAAGAATAGTTACAAATGAAATACCGCATTTAGTCCACAGTGTCCTGGCTCACTAGGATATTCAATGAGCCAGACTTAGAGCTATGGAATTTCGCCAAGAGATTGTTCTTGGGGGAGCCAGAGCAGATGATACAAAGATTAAGGACTTCTCAGCAGAAACACTGCAATATCATGTCTAGAGTGGTTTCATTGTCTATGTATTATAGACAGGAAATGTGGCTGGCAGTCTGCAACAAGTCCTCTTATTTTCAGCACGGGAAATTATAATTTTTGAACTTGAATGCCATGTAAAATTAAGACTGAAAGACAGAATTCATGGCAAGTCAATTATTGATATTTAACTGAAGAAAGAACGTCATGGCCATCAGGGCTCAATAAGTCTTACAAGCTATCGTCCAGCCCTTGCAGCTTCTTTGGTCACCAGAAAAATGACAGAGGGCTGACTAATAGTGACTTCAGTTTGCAGAGATTGTTTCATCCATCATAGTGGTGATTCTAGTTTCTCTTTATAATATTATGGATGATCAGTTGGTGGTATTACTCATGATGGATGAAGCCCAAAAGGGCTAGCAGAGAATTCTGTGAGCCCAGGTAACATAGAAATGAGAAGTTAGGTAGATAGGAAAGTTCCAAAATCATTAGATTTTCAACGCTTTTCGATAAAAACAGAACTGAGATAGAACTTGTCCAGTTGAAGCTGGACACAGATATGGCTGCTTTATTGGTAATAATTTTTTTCCTTAGTGGCAATGAGACTGTAGGCAACAACAACAACAACAAAAGAAAAATCTGAAAAAAAAGACATGAGGACGGGCGTGGTGGCTCACACCTGTAATCCTAGCATTTTGGGTGGCCGAGGCAAGTGGATCACAAGGTCAAGAGTTCAAGACCAGCCTGGCCAAGATAGTGAAAGCCCGTCTCTACTAAAAATACAAAAAAATTAGCCAGGCATGGTGGCAGGTGCCTGTAATCCCAGCTACTCAGGAGGCTGAGACGGAGAATTGCTTGAACCTGGGAGGCAGAGGTTGCAGTAAGCCAAGATGGTGCCACTGCACTCCAGCCTGGGCGGCAGAGTGAGATCCGTCTCAAAAAAAAAAAAAAAAAAACAAACCCAGAAGTCTTGCTTCATGAGAGGAGGACCATGGCACTTGGCCTTGCATTCTGTTGGTCATAGTCAAAGAACCATCCTGATTCAGTGAGAGAGGGGACTACATATGGGTTTGGATGTCAGGGGTGTGGTTCATTGGGCATCTTTAGAGAAGAGCTATCACAATGATCTTGATCACCTATTCAGAGATATGCCTATTACTACTTTAAAAAGAGTGGGAAAGAGAAAAACTTTCTTTTTCGATATAGATTTGAGACTGTACTGGACTATAAATTTCAAGATACTATTGAGGCTAATTGTTCAATTTTGAAAAGTGAAAAGGATCAGAGCCTGTCTTATAATTATACTACTTTTTTTTTTTTTTTTTTTGAGACGGAGTCTCGCTCTGTCACCCAGACTGGAGTACAGTGGTGTGATCTCGGCTCACTGCAAGCCCCACCTCCTGGGTTCACGCCATTCTGCTGCCTCAGCCTCCCAAGTAGCTGGGAATACAGGCACCCGCCACCACGCCCGGCTAATTTTTGTATTTTTAGTAGAGACGGGGTTTCACCACGTTAGCCAGGCTGGTCTCGATCTCCTGACTTCGTGATCCGCCCGCCTCAGCCTCCCAAAGTGCTGATTACAGGAGTGAGCCACTGCACCCGGCTGAGAAATGCACTTCTGTTGAAACACTGTGTTCTTCAGCAAGCAGAAGGAGTCTCATTACTGTGGATGGAAATTAGAATTTCTGCTAAAGGGAGAATAGACCGTTATTTTAGGAAAACGGCAATCCTATTAGTTGAGGAAGAAGTAAGCTCTCTGCTGGTTGGAGGCATCCAGGAAATTGGGCAACCTGTAACGATATTATGGGGCGGGCTCTGACAGCCTTCAAGTCTGGTAGCCAGTAGTCAAGAAGTAAGTAAGTCACTCTTTAGAGTGCAGTAATTTCCTTCCATCACCTCTCAAATCTTTGGGAATCTCATTAGAAGTGTAGTTGGACCTCTGTTTTGTTGTGGGAAATAAGGGAACTATCTATGCTTTTGTAAGGGAGCACAGCACTTCCACCCTTGTCCGCAAGGACAGCGTGATCATATAAGTCACATCCCAAGCTAGAGTAGTGTCTTGATATTGAAAGACTCAACTGACCAACGCAGAGGCAGTAACAGACACTGATGCAGCGGTGAGATGAGCCACCTCTGCCTGGTCAATTTTCTCAGAAATACCAGAGGAAAACGAGTCACCAAAGATGACAGGTTTGGCTAAGTCATCATAATTTGGTTAGTAGCAAATGTAACTTAACTTTATACTCAAATATGGTATATGGTAAGGCTTGTACATGCCACTTATGCACGGCGCAATTATCATGGAAAAACACTGAGGGGGTGAAGTCAGGTTGGAGATCGTGCCAGAGAACATTAGACAATAGACAGAGTAAATCAGGAATAGTTTTCTCAAGAGTGGACCAGAGGCTCCATAGTATTTATGTACATAATTATGATTTCAAAATGCCACCGTGTGTGTGTGTATACCTGTGTGTGTGTGTACCTGTGTGTGTGTGTATTGTGTGCACAATTTATGGACAACTTTAACGAAATCTCTTGCCTTACTGAGCAAAGAAGGCAGAAAACAATTTAAACTTTTTTGATGAGAGAGGGTTATGAACACACACACCAGTTAAACGTGTTGCGCCTTAGTGTAGAGATGTCTTAGAATTATTTCAGTGGTAGAGGGCATAGCTTATCTTCTTCCTTAATTTCCCCCAAACTCATTTGTATATCCAGTAACTCTTGGTTATTCTTTCAGTGTTTCCCTTACTCTTTTCAGATGTCGTTTCATGATGCATTGGCTTCTAGGAGCCTACCACTCTCCAAACTTAACTACTTTACATCTGTTGTAGATGATAGCTTAGAAGAAATCAAATATTGTTGGAGCAAATCAGATTTCAAATCCTTATTATATGATTTTTAAGTCAATCCTCCTGAAGGTAGCCCAATGTCTCTCCCATAAAGTTCATGAATTTTATAACTCTTTTTGTGTATGTTTTCTGCTATGTCTAGGTTAACAGCTATATTCTGGCTAATTTTGGTTGCTAGAAGGCTGACCACTGGCGGGGGGGGCGGTCGCAGTGGCTCACACCTCTAATCCCAGTACTTTGGCAGGCTGAGGCAGGCAGATCACCTGAGGTCAGGAGTTCAAGACCACCCTGGCCAACATGGTGAAACCCTGTGTCTACTAAAAGTACAAAAATTAGCCGGGTGTGGTCGTGGGTGCCTGTAATCCCAGCTATTCGGGAGGCTGAGGTAGGAAAATTGCTTGAATCCAGGAGGCAGAGTTTGCAGTGAGCCATGATCGTGCCAATGCACACCAGCCTAGGCAACAAGAGTGAAACTCCGTCTCAAAAAACAGAAAGGAAGAAAGAAAGCTGACCATTGGGTAAATAGGGCATGATTATACTTCATGAATAAGCCTTGGTTATAAAACAATCACATGGCAAACAGAACAACTAAGCGTAATGTTAGGGGCTGCCATAGCAGGTTGTTTATTTCATACATTGATATATTCAGTTTATTCCCAGAACCCCTTTGAGAGACATACTGAACTTTAGTGCAAACCAGTGTTTCCTGAATCATGGGTATGAACTCATGTGTTGAACTACCCTTGCTCCTGACCTCCTGCACATGTCAGCAGAGAAACAGAAATATGAGCCGACACGGCAATCAGGAAAACACACACCCCGACAAAACTTCTGCCAGTGGAGCCTGACCCCCCTTTTCACACCTCTTCTGGCACATGCTGCCGGGACCTGTTAATAGCTTGTATAACAAGAATCCCCAGAGCTGCATCCAAGTTTAGACTCTTCAGAAGGAGAAACACGATTTAAAAACACAGAGGATGGTGCTGGACAGCCTGGTGCATTGCTACAACCTGGAGGTTGGTGAGTTAGGAGAGAGGTGGATAAATGGGGGAAGACTTCAATAAACTGTGGATCCAGGGTTGGCATTCCAGGCAGACTGTATGAGAAGATTTCCTTTGATTTGCTTCCATTTTTTACATCATTCCCCTTCTACCCATTTCAGTTATCTCTGGCCAACACACTTCTCTCCAGGGTTCCCAGACTGTTGCTCTAAGACTCTGTCCTCACCACTCCAGTGACAGTGCCCTGTGGTATAACCCCCTAAGGTAGGCTGCCTCCAATGGCAGTGCCATTTTTACAGGAGCTCCTTAAACATGAAAAAGATTTCTGTATTTAAATCACTTACTTTAATGGTTAATTTTCTGGCCAGAACCCACATAGAAGTCCCCCTCCCATCCCACTGTATATAATTACCTACTTCTCACTCCGAGAGCCAAGTGCAGCCTGTTATATCCTGCTGGTTGAGTAATGGAGTTGAGTTTCTCTAACCTCAAACGACAACATGACTAAGGTGAATTATAGTTTGGGGCAAAGGTGGCAGGAGTGGTAGGTGGGCATTTGGATTTAATTGGAGTTGAGGCCACCATCTCTGTAGATAAATGTTTTTTATTCTGAAGCGATTCAATGATTACAGCCAATATTCACATGAAGAAAAGTGCACCTGAGTTCAGGAAGGGGAGTGCTAGGATTATTTTTCAACTCAGTTGGTCTAAATTCTTTCCTCACTCTTCTTGGTTTCTGCAAGCAGATGCTGAGCATGCTTTGAACAAAGGGCTAGGGGTTTCCTGCCAAGCAGCTCCGGAGAGGCATCTACAAACCACAGCATTGAAGACATTTCCCAGAAGGCTTTAGAAGTACAAATCTCTTTAATTAAAATGGGAAAAGCCATAGTGAGCGAGGTGTGAAGGGATTGGCTGAGAGTGGAAGGGGGATGAGAATGAAGGGAAGAAAAGGAAGGAGAAAAAGCAATAAATATTTTACAAGTGTTTTCAAACACTGGCCGTCTAACACCCAGAGGAAAATGCCACTTGATGGATTATATTTTGGGTTAGAAAGTGAGGCTAATTCAATGTAATGAGAGGTGAATGGGACTTCAGGCCCTTATCCAACCACAAGAGACCCCTTACAAAAGAGTCTGCTCTTTCAGTCATTAATTTTTTATGAAGTTTAATAGGCCTGAGCCTAGGGACCTTCTGTGGTGTTGATTAGCTTCATATTTCTCTCATTAATGTAGAATCTGATTAGCTCTTATAAAAAGCATTTCATCTCAGGCGTGTGGCAACCACATTGTTCTGATATTAGGAATTGCAAGTTGAATTCACCTGAGAAAAGAAACATCCCCAGGGACAAAGGCCCTGACCTCTTGCTGCCACAAAATGAGAGGCCTGGGAAGACCAGCTGGCTCTCACATCTCATTGGCCACAGTAAGAAACTCTCAGCGTTTGAACTGGGACAATCTTATTGGAGGCCAGCAGAGCTGGTTCACTGCAAAGAGAGCTGACTCCACAGAGTAGGCAGCAGCCACCATATGAATCAGGCTTTGATCACAGAAGCAAAAATGCTGTGAGTGATACAGAAAAGGGGGTCATTACAGGAACTAGATTCTATGCTATCATAGGAGTTGGCTGAGCAGCCTGCGGCTGTGTCTGGTGTGGGGCCTGAAGTTGCTCCAGGTCAGCCAGACCAGCAGTCAAAAAGGAAAATGGGATGTGGACACACTGGAATCCCTCTCCGTTTTTCACTACCTCCAACCTTGATGTCATGGCTGACCAGTGGAGATGCCCATGCCCTTCACCATGGAAACATGTACACAGTTGGCCCAAGACTCCGTGAAACTGAAGAAGGAGATCCAGGTGCTTTTCCAGGAGCTGCCCCATGCTAAGCAGGTGAACCAACTGACCAGCAGCAACATGGAAGCCGCCACAGTGCCTGACACCCTGCACTATACTTCAGAGGGTAAAAATGGTCACTCCATCTCTGTATTCCAAATCTCATGATTCTCTAGGGCCAACACTAACCAAGAACCACACCGGGAAGGGAACTCTGGGAACTGTTCTGATGTAGCTGATTTGACACAGCACAGAGCTGCCACAGCCAGTCCTAAGCAATATACACCAAAGAGAATGACTTGATGCCAGTGGTAATCTCTGATATACAGAGAACAGATAAGTGTCACTCAATGAAGACCCAATTCTTAAGAGATGGTGGGAAAATTTAGGCTGAAAGACTTATGCTCTCAGTAAATATTGTAAGGTGCCCATGACTACCCATGCCCAGTGAACTTTACTAAAATAGAAAAAAAATTTATTTTAGAAACCATACAGCATTTCCCTAGCCCATGAACTCTTTCACTTTACCATACAGTGTTTCCCTAGCCCATGAACTCTTTCACTTTCTTTGATGCCTATTTCATTTATTCTTCCCTATGTCTCCTCCCCACCCTCAGCTAAGGACTGATTCTTGCTTCACTGAGGAAACTGAAGTATTCTGAACATCCCAGACTCCCATTACCATGACTGGTTTCCTAAGCACATCTGCACCCATCTACTGACTTTCATTTGTATATTCATCCTTATTGTGAAACCAGCATCACCTCCTGATTCTCTCTCTTGCATACATAAGGCTCCAGCAATTTCTCCCATCTCACTTGCGTCATTAGTTCTTTTCCCTCTCTACTTGATCATTGTCATCAGCTTATAAATAGGCTATTACTACCTCTTCTTGATAAAATAAGACTTTCTTTGCCACACAATATATCCATCGAATCATTCAGGCATTTGACTTACAGTTTTCCACAGTCTGGATTTTATTACAGTATATATATGGTGAAGTTCAACATTTTCTTTGTTCTCTTTTCCTGCAAATTGGCAGCTAGATCTATTGGCTTGATTAGACTTATGTCTGATCCCTTCAACAAGGCTCTAGAAGGTGGTGTATTCTTTCATCAGGAGGTACATAATGTCTACTTTGTATCTTTTTGGTGAAGTAAGCACCTACTGATGTTTAAAATCCACATGTATGAATTCATAGATACAGAGAGGGAGGGAAAACCTATAAATTAGAAGATAGTTAAAAGACATAGTTTTTTTTTTTTTTTTGACATGGAGTCTCTTTCACTCAGGCTGGAGTACAGTAGCAGTACAGTAGCATGATCTTGGCTCACCGCAAACTCTGACTCCCGGGTTCAAATGATTCTCCTGCCTCACCTTCCTGAGTAGCTGGGATTACAGGTGTGCACCACCATGCCCAGCTAATTTTTGTATTTTTAGTAGATATGGGGTTTCCCCATGTTGGCCAGGCTGGTCTCGAACTCCTGACCTCAGGTGATCCACCCATCTCGGCCTCCCAAATTGCTGTGATTACAGGCATGAGCCACCTTGCCCAGCCAAAAGGGGTTTTAAGTGAGCAAGACTGAACTATGGTGTCTGGGAATGTGCATTTGACTGATACAACCATAAAGAAACACAAGGAGGTGATTACTACAAGATCAGGAAATTGGGTGGGGTTGGGGGTTGAAATAGGGATGTGACACATGGAGAGCCTTGTGGACTGGCTGGCATAGTTCTAGTTCTTGTTCTGGGTTGTGACTAAAAGAATGTTCACCTTATAAGAACTCATTAAGTCATATATTTATTTTGTGGGATTTCTTTATCCCTCTTTTATTTTATAGTAAAATTTACTATTCTTTCTGTCTCTAGTTCCACAATGCCCATTCTCTATTAAACTAAATCAAATCAGCTTTTGCCCCCACTACTTCCATGAAATTGCTCTTGTATAAGTCATCGATTGCTTCCAATTGCTACATTCACGGCCAAGTCTCAAGCCTCATTTTACCTGCCCAGCTTGTGACACAGGTGCTCAATCCCTCTTGCTTAAAATACTTTCTTCACTGGGCTCCTGTAGCACCATACTCGCTAGTATTTTTAGTCTCCTTTTCTGATTCATTTTCTTCTCCATCACTTTACAAAGTTAAAATACCTAAAGCTTCAGTGTTTGGCTCCTTCTCTTCTCTACTGACATGCAATCTCTTGGAAATCTTATCCAAGATTATCAAAATTACCATCCCAATGACTTTAAATAATATCTACATACTGACAGTTCCCAAGTGTGTGTATCTTCATCCTAGAACTTCAGACTAGAATACCCAATACCCTACCCAACATCTTTACATGGGTGCCTAATAGAGTTTTGGGTTTACCAGGTACCCAAGCAAACTTCTTATTTTCCTCTCCAAGACAGTTGCATCTCCAGTCTTTTTCGTGGCTCAGTTAATGACATCCCCATTCTTCTAGTTGCTTAAGAAAAAACAATTAGGCCAGGTGCGGTGGCTCACGCCTGTAATCCCAGCACTTTGGGAGGCCAAGGCGGGTGGATCATGAGGTCAGGAGATCGAGACCATCCTGGCTAACACGGTGAAACCCCGTCTCTACTAAAAATACAAAAAAATTGGCCGGGAGTGGTGGCGGGCGCCTGTGGTCCCAGCTACTCGGGAGGCCGAGGCAGGAGAATGGCGTGAAGCAGGGAGGCGGAGCTTGCAGTAAGCCGAGATCGCGCCACTGCATTCCAGCCTGGGTGACAAAGCAAGACTCCGTCTCAAAAAAAAAAAAAAAGAAAAAAAAATTAAAGTCATCATCGACTTCTCTCTTTTTCTATTATTGGTCATTCAATCTCTAAGCAAGTCCTGTTAGTACTTCAGAAAGCGTCTATCATCCAACTACTTCTTTCCTCTCTTACAGCTACTGCCTGGATTCAAACCACAGTAATCTCTCTCTCCTGCCATGCTCTCCAGAGCAGTCGCTTTACTTTTCTTCTTGCCTCCTCATATTCTCCATACAGGTTACACTCAGGACAGCTGCCAGAGTAAGTCTTTAAAAATGAAAATATCAGTGCATTTTACTCCTTTGCTCAATGTTTATCAAAGTCTTCCCATTTCACTTAGAGTAAAAGGCAAGTTCTTACAATGGTGTAAATGGATCCATGTGATCTGACTCTCCTAGTTACCTCTCGACTTCAGGTCCTACTGCAAATCTTTCCCTCCTTCCCTTATCTTAGCCTGCTTGGCAGTTCGTGAATAGGCCAGACACACTCCTACCTCAGGATGTTTCTTACTGGCTGTGTCCTCTGCCAGAAATACCCTTCATCCAGACATCCACATAGCCCACCTCCTGCCTTCATTCAAGTTTTTTAATCAAATGCCATCATATGAATGATTTTCTTCTCCATAACTATTTATTTATACCTCCCAGTACTTCCAGGCCCCCTTACCCAGCTCTCTTCCTTCCATGAGATTTGCCGCCTTCTAATACACGTTTTTTTTCTTAATTTATTATGTTTAAGGTTTGATGTCTGTCTCTTCACAATAGAAAAATTCCACAAGTGCAGGGATTGTTGTTTGTTTTGTACACAATATATCCCTAGCATGTTGTTCACTGCCTGACTCATAATAGGGATTCATGACATATTTGTTAAATGAATAATTGCAAGGAAGCATCCTGCTCACTCCAAATTTCTACCTTCTTTTTTTTTCTTCTGACTGAAAACTTTTCTAAGCAATAAACAAAACAGCCTTTATAATCAGATTTCTAAAAAACTGAAGAAAAAATAGATTTTAGTAACTTATATAGATATTTTCACTAACCAATGCTTTGGTTTCTCTAATGATTTGGTCTATGATCTCTGAGCTCACTCTTTCTGCAAGGCAAGCACACATTTAATGAGTATAGTGCCCATGTGCATTACCCATGAAAATGTGTCTAAAAAAGATAAATTGGACACTATGATTGGATAGCGAGTTTTTTCCAAGAAGTCATACTATCATACTATTAGTGAACAATATTATTAGCTAACTTTAATTGCTAGTTATCTTTATTTTTGTATGACTTTTTTTTTCCAATTTGAACACCAACTGCTTACATTTTAGTGTATCATTTGATATCCTTTTACCAAGCCCATAGTAGTTGTTGTATATAATGGACTCCGAATCATTATAAAAATATATTCACTGACTTGTGACAAGGATGCTGAATTTTGTGTCAGAACAGGACAGATAAAACCATATCCCCAGAAAATGAAAGACATATACAGAAGGAATTGAGTATACTGCCTGGCCTCGCTACTACTCATCCTAATAACTACCATGCCAATGTTTGGAATCTTCCAGATATGTTTTCATCATCCCCCCACTTGTTGTTAATGTCTGAGTTTAATCTTTAATCCACCTCTTTGGGTTCTGCTTTCAGTTTAGATGAAGTAATTTCAACTGAAAGGCTACCTATACCCCACACTCCACTGCCCCAATAGTGACTCAAGTCCCTACCTATAATCCATGGTTAATGAGGGAAAGCTGAGAATGGGGCGATTTAATTTCAAGTCTAAGGACTTTTTTTTTTCTTCATGGATTTGTTAAACCAGATATTTAAAAGGCTGAATAAAATTGGGGAAAGGATAATCACCTCCAATTTCTTGAAGCAAAAGCTCACATACTCACTGATGTAAGAAGAGGAAACCACAAGGTTTTTCTGTTCATTTTTCATCCTTTAGCTCTAAGGAAAAGAAAGGGCTGAGGTTCTGAACTAGGCTTCTGATGCATGGCTATTTAATCTATTCCTGATTCTGCATTTACTTTGCTCTGTCTAGAAAGGATGCAGAATTGGCCATAATGAATGACCCAAGCAATTTCAGCTAATGGCCAGAATTGAAACCTTTGATAATCCCAGGTGAATAATGTTGTCTCAACAGACTGAAGGAGTCTTTTACCTGTCTGACACAATGATAGATGTAATTAGTTAACAGGGATATTCAGAGGTTTTAGTGGAGGCATTAGCAGAGATTGCTCAGGTCATTCTTAATTATGCAAATTCCATCTTCTTCAGACAGAATACAAAAAAATAAAACGAGTAAACACAGCTGGAAGAAAAGATTCCACGGAAACAGCTGAAGCTAGGAAACTCCTCAGAGAAGTGATTATGTACCCCTCAGGCTAGGTAGGTGAAGAGGAAATAGCCATAGACAAAGGTCTTAACTGTGGGCAGTCCCCAGCTTTAGTCAAGCCAAAAAAGCTTGGATGCCTACTAAGTATGCTTATCCAAAGTCCTACGTCACCTTGAGCAGACATGACTAAAGGGAGAAATATTGCAGGTGGTTTCAAGCTCTTTCTAAGCAGCAGGCTTTCTCTCTGGGGAAGATAGACAAATAAGTGACTTAAAGCATTCAGAAGCAGGAGACAGAGAATGATGAGATGAGTTCCACAGGGTTGAATGAGAAAAGGAAGATGAAGGGCGCTGAAAGAGCCTTCTCCCTCAGCTCTAAATTTGCAGTCCCCTTTGAATTCACCATGCTTTGACCTTCTTTGCCACTACAATTTGAGACCCTACGTGCCTCCACTCTGCCTTCTAGCAAATAGTCACAGCCACTGTCAGATCTGTGTAAAGGTGCATAATTCAACATGGCATCAAAAACAAAGGACTCTTTGCATCAGACGTGTTTATTTTTCTTGTAAGGCTTTGACACGTCAATGGTTGTCACCTGTGGTTGAGTGAAATCTTGGCATGAAATCAATTTGATGTCCAACGTCAAGCAGCTTTCTTTAATGTCTCTGGATAAGGCAAGAAGGGCCTTGCGTCCTTGAGGAGAGGCAAATGAATAACTGGGGGTCAATCACTGGGGCTTGATGAGGATCCAGCTGGTCCTCAAAGGCAGTCAAGAGAAGTGAGTATTTAGGCAGTGGCTCTTGCTGGTTGGTTTGCAAAAGCTTCAGAGGACAACACTGGGAATCACTGATTATCCACGCTTTTTGCCTGGCACATGGGGTGGCTAATTTTAGAACCCAACTTTTTAGCCTCTCTCCTATGGTTTTCTTTTCTTTCTGTAGCTTGAAGGAGGCAAACCAATAAAACATTTTATTACTTTAGAGAACTCACAACCAAAAATTATTACAGCATGAAAATATAAATAAGTTTAAAAGGGAAAAATATATGCTTGATAGATTACTGTAGGTGCAGTGAGGAGTGTGGGAAAGTGGAAAGAGCATTTCTATTGAAGTTATATTGCCTTGGGTTTAAGTCCTGTCTCTATCCCTCTTTGCTAGCTGTGTGGCCTCACAGAAGTCGCTTAAATCCTCCGAGACTAGGCGCCCTCATCTGTAAAATGGAGATTGTAATGCCTATATGATGATTAAATGAGTTAGAGTTTTGTACACATAGATCTTAAAGAGGCATATTTTTATGGTGAGAAAAATTTTTGAGTTTACATCAGAGAAAAGACAAACCTTTCATATCCCTTGTTGGCTTTTTAAGAGCTAGAACACAATGCACAATATATTTTATATTGAAACCAACATATCAATGATTAATTTGTATGTATCCAAATCACATTCTTAAGTTCCACTTTTAGTCTTAAATTGAGATTAGCCTAGTTGAGAATTTGTTTATGTAGTTAACAAAACAGAAATATCCAAGAAAAGAGGGTAATTTCGAAGGTCGCCCCATTTTCATAAGTATCTACTTCCCAAATGGGCATCCTTATGGGAAAATTATCCAAACTGGACCCAGTAGATTTACTTAACAAACCTTTATATGGTTTACTGTATGTCAGACATCTGTTCAAAGTGCTTTACAAATATTAAGCCATTTAATTCTCATAATAAAACTAAACTGTACATAGGTAGATAATTACCTATTATTCCCATTTTGCAGATAAGATAACTGAAGAGCTAAGAGGTTATATAAATTGAACAAGATCACACAGCTAATAAGTGGCAGAGCCAGGTTTTATACCCAGGGAGTCTGGCTCCAGAGGCCATAACTTTAACCCGTGGGCTGTGCTATATCTTTTGCATTAACTCTACTGCTCTGTGGTAAAGGATTTGTATCACAGTCTGCCAGAGTTTAAGTCTACAAGAGTCTAAATGTGCCATGTTTCTATAATACCTTTCTAGGTATTGATCTGTACATGAGCCACTGAAGTAGACCTGTTATATTAGGAGTTCAATTCAGCAGGGTCCACATAAAGAACATTAGTTATATTTTTATCCTGTACAAAGTAGTGGGGTCATTAATTGCCTGAAAGCAATGTTAAGAAGACAATACCCAAACAATTCATGGTATGTGTCAATTGTCTACAATTCTGTAGCATAAGTATGACCTTAAAATCACAATCTCTTTATCGATTTATTCACTAGAGAATCTGAGGATCAGGAAGGACTTTAGAAGGTAAAGTTTTTCATTATATTTCCTTACTTCAACATCTATTTCAAGGAATCTCCAATTAGGGTCAGGCCACTCCAGTAACTGCAAGTTTACTGGAAATGCCTGTCCATCATTAGTCCCAAGGTGGCTCATGCCTTCCTTTATAAAAAAAAATTAGTAATGGCTTTATCAAGACATAATTCACCTATTCTTTTAAATTATACAATTCAGTGATCTCTAGTATATTCACAGAGTTATGCAACTGAGGTTCAGTAGATGCTACCCCAAAATATGGCACCTTGGCATACTGAATATTTTAAGCTGAAAGAAATTGAGCTGCAGAAACAGGAAAGAACTCTGGCTTTCTTCTGAACCCCCTTCCCCTAAAGTAGGTCATAGAAACTAGAATTTTTCTTGCTCTTCTTCTCTGAAGCAGATCATAAAACCTAGGAAGGTCACTCTGGACTCCCTTCCTTCTTCCCTGCAGACCTTCATGGAACAGGTGTCCTGCCCTATACCAGAGGGAAAGAATGTCACGCAGGGACACTAGAAAGAATCTGAACCAACAGGCCTCAGTAAGATCCCCCCTGTTTATTGCTGTTAGACCACACCCTTTCATTCTTTAATCATACATCTCCATGACTGTCCACTCTTCATGAAACCCATGCATAAAAATACACAGCTGCCGGGCGTGGTGGCTCATGCCTGTAATCTCAGCACTCTGGGAGGCCGAGGCGGGTGGATCACTTGAGATCAGGAGTTTGAGACCAGCCTGGCCAACATGTTGAAACCCTGTCTCTACTAAAAATACAAAAAAATTAGCTGTGCAAGGTGGCACATGCCTATAATCCCAGCTACTTGGGAGGCCGAGGCAGGAGAATTGCTTGAACCCAGGAGGTGGAGGTTGCAGTGAGTCGAGATCGCACCACTGCACTCCAACCTGGGTGAGAGTGAGACTCTGTCTCAAAAAACAAAAAAACCCATAGCTTTCCCCATCTCTTTAGGTCTTCTTTCTGAAGTCTCCATGTCATCTAAAACTTAGTAAATAAATTTATATGCTTTTCTCTTGCTGATCTTTCTTTTTTTATTGGGGTCTCTGCCATGAACCTAACAATAGGTGAGAAAATAAATCTGTTCTCTCCTATATAACCTTCACTTTATCTAATTTCAGGGCATTTTTATAACTCCAAAAGAAACCCATTAACAATTACTCCCTGTCCTTCACTCCCTCCAGCCCCTGACAAACACCAATCTACTTTCTGTCTCTGCAAATTTGCCTATTCTGGACATTTCATATAAATGGAATCACACAATATTTGGCCTTTTGTAACTGTCTTCTTTTACTGAGTATACTGTTTTCATGGTTCATTGGTTTTGCAATATATGTCGAAATTTCATTTTTTAATTTCAAATTTCATTTTATTTTTATTTATTACTATTATTATTTTTGAGACAATGTCTTGCTCTGTCACCCAGGCCGAAGTGCAATGGTGTGGTCTTGGCTCACTGTAACCTCTGCCTCCTGGGTTCAAGAAATTCTTGTGCCTCAGCCTTCCGAGTATCTGGGATTACAGGTGTGTGCCATCACATCTGGCTAATTTTTGTATTTTTAGTAGAGACGGGGTTTCACCGTGTTGGCCAGGCTGGTCTCAAACTCCTTACCTCAAGTAATCTGCCTGCTTCGGCCTTCCAAAGTGCTGGGATTACAGGTGTGAGCCACTATGCCTGACCCCAAATTTCATTTTAGATTCAGGGGCATTATATAATATAAAAAAAAATATAAAAAATGCAAGTTTGGGCCGGGTGCAGTGGCTTACGCCTGTAATCCCAGCACTTTGGGAGGCCAAGGCAGGTGGATCACGAGGTCAGGAGATAGAGACCATCCTGGCTAACACAGTGAAACCCCATCTCTATCAAAAATACAAAAAATTAGCCAGGTGTGGTGGCAGGTGCCTGTAGTCCCAGCTACTTGGGAGGCTGAGGCAGGAGAATGGCATGAACCCGGGAGGTGGAGGTTACAGTGAGCCGAGATCACACCACTGCACTCCAGCCTGGGTGACAGAGTGAGACTCTGTCTCAGAAAAAACAAAAAAAAGAAGTGCAAGTTTGTTACATGGTATATTGCATGATGCTGAGATTTGGTGTATGGATCCCATAACACATTTTTTTAAATAATTTCAAATTTCATTTTAGATTCAGGGGCATTATATAATATAAAAATAAATATTAAAAAAAATGCAAGCTTGTTACATGGGTATGTTGCATATTGCTGACCTTTGGGGTATGGATCTGTGGTGGTGAGCATAGCACCCAATAGGTAGTTCTTCAACCCACACCCTTCTTTTACCTACCCACTCTAGTTCTCTGCAGTATCTATTGTTCCCATCTTTATGTCCATGTGTACCCAATGTTTAGCTCCCACTTATAAGTGAAAACATGCAGTATTTGGTTTTCTATTCCTGTGTAATTTGTTTAGGATTATGGCTTCCAGATGCATCCGTGTTGCTGTAATCCATGTTGATTTCATTTTTTTATGCTGGATAGTATTCTGTGTTGTATATGTAGCATGTTTTATTTATCCAATCCACCACTGATGGGCACCTAGGTTGATTTTACATCTTAGCTATTGCAAGTAGCACTGCAATGAACATATGAATGCAGATATCTCTTTGGTAGAATGATTTATTTGGTAATGATTTATTTTGGTAGAATAATTTATATTCCTTTGGGTATATACACAGTAAAAATGCTTATCATCACTAATTGTCAGAGAAATGCAAATCAAAACCACAATGAGATCTCATACTAGTCAGCATGACTAATATTAAAAAGTCAAAATATAACAAGTGCTGGAGAGGCTGCACAGAAAAGGGAATGCTTATACACTGTTGGTGGGAAGGTAAATTAGTTCAGCCAGTGTGGAAAGCAGTTTGGAGATTTTTTCAAAGAACTTAAAATAAAGATACATTTGCCCCATTACTCAGTATATACTCAAAGTATCTCATTTCTTTTTAAGTCTGAATAATATTTCATTATATAGATATACCACCTTTTGTTTATCCATTCATCAGTTGACAGACATTTGGGTGTTTGTTCCTCTTCTGCTTTTGGAAGCATTTGTGAAGGGTTGGTGTTCATTCTTTAAACACATGGAAGAACTGACGGTGAAATCAGGCTCCTTCATGCTGTAGACCACTAATAACTTGAAGAGTGATGTGTGGAGCAGCAGCATCTGCCCTCCCTGGGAGATAGTTAGAAATGCAAATCCTCAAGCCACACCCCAAATATATTAAGTGAGACTCTTAGGGAGTGGGTGAGGCTATGTTTTAACAACCCCTTTAGGTGATTGTAATGCATACTAAACTTTGAGACACACACTTTAGAAAACTTTCAATGTTCTACTTCCTACCAGACTATAGTAGCTTTGGTAGTTTCTCCTTCCCTAATTCTTTTGGGTCAAGTCCCTTTGTGATTTGTTTAACCTTCACATGTTTGAAAACAACTATGCTAATATACCTAACACTGTCTCCTTGTTAAACATCACCAGTTCCTTAGGCAAAGCATAGGGAGGAGTAGTATGGCATAGAACAGGGCAGAAATCTTGTCTGTTTTTTCCATGATGCCTTTCAAACTCCTAGAATGGTACCTGGCTTATTGTATGTGTCCAGTAAATATTTATTCAATGACTGAAAATATTATTGGCAAATTAGATTACTATGGCCCATTGTATTAGTAACAATTTTGGTTGGGAATGGCAGAAACCCACTGAAGCAGCTTAAGAAAAAGACATTTATTGTATGGATACACAGATGTCTTACAGAACCAAGGAACTTCATTCAGGAAATAAAGTGTGAGGGGAAACTGTTAAGTCTCTCTGTGCCTCTCATTTCCTTCTTTTTCTTGCATCTGTGAATCTTTCTTCTCCAGTTGCCACAGAAGTGACCAGTTTCCATATCTCCAGAGCATAAAAATGCTCTCAATAACATCAAGAACGCCTGTTATTAAAACTCACCATTGGAGAGTTAAATCAGGTTAACTATACTAGCTTAGTCTCGATTCCAAATGCCCAAAGGTAAGCCAAGTTTCTGGTTTGTGCAGCTTGAATTAGTGCCTTCCCCCAAATCATCTTTGGATTTGGTCAAGGGTCTGGGCTCTCAGTGTTTGAACATGGCTGCCCCAACTCATTGTAACCATGTGGATAAGGGAAGGTGGCACTGAGCTAGAAGTTATTGAGAGGTATTAAACACACAAAATAATAGATGTCTTATATCTTTATTAATTAAACATTTTTGAGAAACCTACTTTGTGCAATGGTCTGAGGTACAAGCTTCAGGTAATACAAAGAAATGGGATTAACCTTTGCTCTAAGGAGAAACAGTTTAGTTAGAGTCAGGACCTGAGCACAGGAAACTGAATCTACAATCCAAGTAGTCCATGGCCAGTGTCAGTAAGTAGAATGAATGCTAGGTATTATGTAACTCATATCATCAACCCTAAAAGCAGCAGCCATAAGACATTCATTATAATATCCTCTTTGCCTCTACAATGGAGATGTCAGGAGTAAAGACCTTATCTACCGTTTTACAAGAGGGACTCACTCCCTTTAGTAGAAACTTTGGCATACTTTCATTATAGGTCTTTTTATTAGGAACCACTATGCAACTCCTGGGCTATGATTGTTTGTATTTTACGAATATTGTGTTCTCAATTCAACTAAACAACCAAATTTTGAGAACACCTTTAACAACTGTGCAGGACCTTCTGGTTTGTAGTACACATGCCAACTGTATTCCTCATTTCATTTTATTTTCCTATACTTGTTTGCTACTTCACTGAATTTCCACAGTTATTCAGGTTTTTATATTGTAGTACTGGTATGTATATTTCCATATATTGTAAAATATTTTTCTATAAGTTTTCTCAAGTCTGTTTTTGAACCAGGATATAATCAAGTGACAAACAACAACAACAAACTTTGTATTGTAGAGTTCATAAGAGGCAGGGCCAGAAGAGGTCTTATAGCCACATTTTGCCTGGGTCTCCTCTGGATTTTCACCATCTGTATTTGGACAGTGTGGGGGATGAAAAATTAATTGGGATTAAGTTACTAGAAACCACTTTGTGAATATAATTTCATTTTTCCAACTGGTAAATATTCCTTATTCAAAATAACTTTTTGTGGTATGCTGTCCAATGTAAATGTTATTTAGTAATCTGGGTAGTTACCGAAATATTTGGGTTCTCTTGTTGACATAGTCATGACTGTAGTTTTTGAGGGCAGCCATTCAGTAAAAAGTGTTTAAGAAGGTTGCTGGTAAATAATAGATTATGAAAGCTGTGGGGAATGCTTTTCTGTTTTGGCCTTTTCTATAGAGAGTTAGCTCAGCTGTCCAGAGCACCTGTGTCTGGTTAGCTCAGTTAATTAGAGCATGATACTGATGACACCAAGGTCACAGGCTTAATCCCCTAGTGGACTCCTTGAATTTGTTTCTGTGTCTTGGCTGAGGACTGTACTCTTTGACATCTGCCTCAAACATATTGGTTGTGCCATGTATGGGAGCCATTGGAGAGACTCTGTAAGAGCTAGTGCTGAATAGCATCTCTGGGCCAGTCTTCCAAAGAGCAATCTTTGAAGGGCAGAAGATGCCAGTGGTTCACTTGTGCCAGTTCACTTCTCTCTCTCCTTCTCTCTCTTTCTCTTTGAAAAATGCAGTACCTTGTTTCTCAAGATACACAACATTGGCCTCAGGAAGAGCTAGGTGAGACTGCGAATAAATCTGTGTAGTCCAATCTCCCTGCTGAAGAAGTAACTCAAAGCACAGACCATCTTTGTGATGGGTCAGTTAAACCAACTTGCTTTCTTTGCATGCAGAGAGGGCAGTGCTTTCATTAAAGCAAAGCACCCACAATGTGGCTGGTTCCTGAGTTGGATACATGCACTCTGGGATCATCAATCAATTCTCATTTGATTCCACAAAGCCCCTCTACTGAAAAACATCCAGGCCTCTCACACCAATATGACTCATGGGACACTTCTGATTAATACCAATCAGGTTAATGGCTTAGCTATAGTTAATGGTTCCTGCTCTGTAGCTGCAACAACAGGAATTAATAACAAATCCCCACTCGTTTTTGCAAATCAGAGGAAAGATGCTAAGGGCCTGACAAGCTCTAATCTTTATGGTTTAATGGAATCGTGTTAGAGCACAGAGACTGTAAAGATTGGGAAACTGAAAAAATTCTCTGTCACATCCCTGGTTTTAAAGATCTGAGCTCTTTCTAATACTCTGTCAACAGCTCACTGTCACTGGGGCTTTACAGGACAGGACAGCCCTGGTGACAAACCATCTAGAAAAAAGATACAAAAGCAAGTGGTTCATTAGCGCTGCTAACACACACGAGGCTTAATCTTTTGGCAGGGGGACACAAAATTTAACAGGCATCTTATAATAATGAGCTGGAAAGCGTGTCGTAAAGGCAAGGGAGATGATTCATTTTATTTCTGATAGTGACGTTTACTGATTCAATGTCACAGACACTCCAAATGCTGAAGTATTTGACATTGGTCAGTCTCTGGGATAAGGAATTGGGGCTTTTTTCTGGCCAACTATAACGTGTGCCAAACCACCAAACATCAGGCATTAGCACAAATTGAAATTGGCTCCCAAGAATCCCTGAAATACTTAGCACCAGGGGTTTGTCATCAGTCAAGCAGATTTGCTGCAGGGAAGGTTAGGATCAGGATGGTCAGTGTTGGTGGGAGGAGGAGGAAGCCCTACATGAAGAAGGAGCCAATTCCAAGCTAGAGCATGTTGTTTGTGGGCGATAATGGGGTGAAGGGAAGTAGAGGAGGGGGCTGGTAAAGCCAGGCTTGATTTTAGCTGGTGCCACAATCTACATTCTAGGAAGTCCATATTGGACTCACAGCCTGTGGGCCACGGTGAGAGTGGCCAGGATGTGGGAAAACTTTAAGTCAAATGCATGGGAACAGGATGGCTCGAGTTGGAGAAAATTCTCAGCTTTCAGCTGGGAGAAAAAGAAACAGTTCAGTCTATCAGGGCAAGAGATGAATGCAAACTAAGCAGATGTACAGGCTCACCAAAAAATTTGGGATTCTCCTAGGAGACTAGAATACTGAAATTTGTTTAACAAAAAAGTTTAATACAAGTGGAATTGGGAGAACAGTGGCATAGAGAACTGTTTGTAGAGCAGGCACCAAGCACATTAACTGCAGGATCTATGGCAATAAGACTCATTATAGACCCAACCTGTAGGTGGAATAGAGCTTGCCCTGCTCAGTGGTGGTTTGGGCAGAAAGAGTGAAGACAGAATATAAGGATGAAGAATGTCAACGTGGTTCTAAAGAAGGCAGCAGTGGATAGCGTTTGCAAAAGCTGCCTTGCACACTGTCTGTGTTTATTTTATTTTTATTTTCCTTAAAGTAGATGTCTAGTTCTTTAATGTAGAATATAACCTTAACTTATTTTAGCATATCCCACAGGATAATTAACATCACTCTGAGAACAAAGTGCATATTCAATTAAATCTCTTTGTCTTTACAAACTTACTTTAATTCTCAACCACTTTGTTCTTGAAAATTTTTCTGGAAATAATAGGCTCAGTCTCAAATCGTTGTTGGTGTGTTTCAAAAGCACATAAAAAGAAGATTTTGAAGGATTAGCTCTGTGCGAGGAATCCTCTTAGAAAGGATGCAGAAGGTTAAGGATCAGCAGCAGGTTTATGGATCATTTTTACTGCCACTTCAGCAGGAATTTCTTCTATGTCTACTTCTCAGATGACAACTGGCAGACACAATCTGAACAGCCGTCCTAAAAACAGAAGCTGATATACCATGTCCGAATGAAACCTGGTCAGCATCCTTGACAGGCAGTTATAAATGGAGGTTTGCTTGGTGTATTATTCATTTGGCTGGATTTGGATACATTGAATGTCTTCCTACTCTCTCCACAATCCAGTAGCATAACATCAACAGCTTTGGTAACTCTGCTAATGCCAGAAAAGAGAGTATATGGATTAAAGTCATCTTCTGGTAGCTATTCCAGCACTCACAAATCTATATTTCCAATAACAACAAATTAGAACTGGGCTGTCTGATATTATTGTCGCTAGCTAGCTACATGTGGTTATGTAAATTTAAACTAAGTTAAATTAAGTGACATTAAGAATTCAGTTCATCAGTCACACTGGCCACATTTAAAATGCTCAATAGCCACATGGCTAGTAATTACCATACTGGAAGGTGCAGGAGAGCACATTTCCATTATCATAGAACATACTATTGGATAGCACTGAATTAGACTGAGTGTCATTCATGTTTGTACTCCAGTACCTAGCACCTAAGGACAATTTGTTGACTGCATACTACTATACATCTGCTCAGCTAGAACAAGAATTCTGAGCTCAAGTGTTTTCTACCTGCCTCTCTCTCCATCCCTAGGTGACCTGTAACTCAGGCTTCCTTCCCAGCTGCTTCTACACAAACTAAAGGAATGCCTCCAAGTGCAGAGTCGAAAATGACTTTTCCTTCTGAAACCATATTTGCAAAACTTATAACAGTGAAAGAATTCTGACCTAACCAACTCTATCCTGCCTTTAACCTCCAAACTGCCCTAGTCTTTCCTGAGTGTGGGCCAGGCTAAATTGGAAAGAAATTTAGCTTATAGTTTAAATGATAATAGCCCTTCCCAAAACTAAATTGCCTTGGTAAAATTAATGAAAGTCCACCAACTTAGGAGGATAAGAGGAGCCTGAATTCTGCTAAGATGTAGATGTAGTTAAGCAATAACCAGCCTTTGTTCTGGAAGTCACAAGATTTGTAAATTTCCCCAGTTACTCCTGTAAATAACATCACTATTTTATTAATATAACCTAACATTGGACTTTTGAGATCTTTCTTCAGGCGTTTGCATTTCTAATGACTGGATGGCTCCATCCAAACCAGTGACTGCTCTGTGCCCCCATCCAGAGGTGGACTCAGCAACGAAGGACAGTTTTCCCCACCCCTATGATGGCGACCCCAACTGATCAGCCGTACCCATTCCCTAGACCCCTGCCCACCAAACTCCTTGAAAAGTCCTAACCTCTGAATTTTCAGAGATACTGATTTGAGTAATAATAAAATTCCGGTCTCCCACTTAATGGGCTGTATGTGTATTAAACTCTTTCCCCATTACAATTCCTCTGTCTCAGTAAATCAGCTCTATTTGGGCAGCAGGCACGATGACCTCACTGGGTGGTTACTTTCTTTCCACCTCCCTCTTACTGTCTCCCTTCCTTCCCTCTCTCTGTCTCTTTCTCTTTCATTCTTTCTCTTTCTCTCTTTCTAGGCTTGCTTAGCCTAGGACAGGGTGCTTTGAACTGTTACTGAGCTCTAAGAGAGGGCTAGAGAATGTGATTGTTCTACATGGTGACAATAAAATCAGAGGGCTGTGGTGGTGGAATAGCTGTGAATATTTACTTTGGATGTCTGATTCTGTCATCTAGGAGGAAAAGAGAGGAAAATGGAGAGACATTGGAATAATTGAACAAAGATTCACTCATTTGGCTCTCCTTAAACAGGAAAGAGAACTATAAAGAAAACCAACATGGTTGAAGCCCCTCAATGGTCCAGGTATCTCACAACAATCAGATGAAGTAGATTTTATTTTATTTATTTATTTATTATTATTTTTTTAAGACAGAGTTTCATTCTTGTTGCCCAGTCTGGAGTGCAATGGCACTGTCTCGGCTCACTGAAACCTCTGCCTCCTGGGTTCACGCAATTGTCTGGCCTCAGCCTCCCAAGTATCTGGGATTACAGGCACGTGCCAACACGCCCAGCTAATTTTTGTATTTTTGTAGAGACAGGGTTTCATCATGTTGGCCAGGCTGCTCTCAAACTCCTGACCTCAGGTGATCCACCTGTCTCAGCCTCCCCAAGTGCTGGGATTACAGGGGTGAGCCACTGCATCTGGCCCTATTTTCCACATTTTAGATAAAATTAGGAATTAAGATTCAGAAAGGTAAGGTGATTTGTGCAAGCCGACAAATCTGCTAGTAAGAAGCAGAGCTGATATTTTATAAGTAGTCCTGTTCCCCTTCAAACACATAAACTCTGTTACTGCAGAGGACTTTGCAAAAATTGGGTAGGCTGGAGATTTAAGCTCTATATAGAAAGGACGATCCTCAGCAGGGAGTCATCCTGAGTCTAGCAGTCCATTTCTATGCCCTGTGACAAAGAAACTGAGTACTTGCACAAGCTTGAAGGGCATTCTCAGGCATAGGGCTACTTCTTCCGCTAGCCCCTTGGCTACTCAGGCAAGTGTCATTTAGTAAAAAAGAGGGAGGAGATTATCTTTACCTGTTGTAAAATACAGTTTGTTGATTTTGTAAAATGCTTTTTGTGTTACTTTTTTGTTAACTACACTGCAGACTAATCCAGGACACGGTCTTAGGTGCCTGTCTGGTACAGAATTCTTTCCAGCACAGGATGCAACCTTCTTTCCTATTAGTTTATCTTTAAGTTAGGGCATGGACATTGATATAATAAGTTATTTGATGGAATTAGTTTTCTAGGTTTCTGATTGTGGGATATACCCACAATATGAAAACCAAGGTTTCTTCATATCACGGCCATTTCTGACACTACCCTTATATTTGTAGGCAGTTCAGTAGTTTTCAGTTTTCTACATGCATTTCATATGGTTCTCACTAATGTCTTGTGAGTGGATATAATCATTCCCCCCCTTTTTTTTTTTTTTTTTTTGGTTTTTGTTTGTTTTTTTTTTGTTTTTCAGAGATGGAGTTTCACTCTTGTTGCCCAGGCTGGAGTGCAATGGCGCAATCTCGGCTCACTGCAACCTCTGTCTCCTGCGTTCTCCTGCCTCAGCCTCCCGAGTAGCTGGGACTACAGGCATGTGCCACCATGCCTGGCTAATTTTGTATTTTTAGTAGAGACGGGGTTTCTCCATGTTGGTCAGGCTGGTCTTGAACTCCCGACCGCTGGTGATCCTCCCGCCTCGGCCTCCCAAAGTGCTGGGATTACAGGCATGAGTCACCACACCCGGCCAATCATTCCCTTTAAACAGATGACAAAGCAAGATACAGGGTAGTTAAGGGGACTATGTAAAATTACAAAGAAAGTCAAGCAAGGCTTCCGGTTTCTGAAACTTTTAATATTTTTTTCCCAAGAACATAGGAAATAAAGAAAAAGATAAACTCAAAATCAAGATCTGTGTCCATCAAATTTGTCCTCTTTTTCTTCTTTCCTATTTCTTATTCTTGGTTTGGATGTCTCTAGCTTTCAAGCTGTGAAAGTTATTGGTCAAGGATTGAAAGTCTTGTGACGAGAAATACACTTCAGAGTCACAAATGTCACAGAAGACATAGAACATGGAAACCAGTGTTCTGCCCCCAAGCATTAACATTCCTTCAGGAAATTTTTAGATAAGTGAAACAAGCTGATCAGTCAACTCAATAATTCATCTATAGAGAGGCAAACCAATGGTTTCACCAATTGATTTTTCTCCCCAAATTCAAAGGCCGTTGTGGTATCAGGTTTCTACTGTTCAAGTTAAGAAAAGAGAAAAGGTGCAACATTGTCTGGTAAATTACAAAAAAATATTTTACAATAAACCAGTAAAATCCAGATTCTCTTCCACAGCTAAGTGAACTAAGGCATATTTGGGGAATGAAATCGATCTTCTTATTCCTGTATCTTAACTTGCCAAGCCAAGAGATGAGAGCACGTATAAAACCTAAATGCAAGCCAGAACTATTAAGAACTACTGATAATAATTAGTATTTTGAATAAAAGATTTATCCATCCAGCAAATATTTAATGAATTTCTATTATGCGCTTTCTATCCTCCACATGGTTACCTTATTGACTGATTCACAAAGACAAAGCCACGTAGAATAATCTAAACGAAGACGTGAACATTTCCTTTCTCTTCAATGTGGATTATCCAGATAATTACTTCACTTCACTCCATGGCGCCTTGCTGATAAAGCTTTAATTATAATCCAGACCACAGGTGGAAGAAAATGCAAACTAAAGCTATACTCTCCCTAGATGTTCCCCAAGAGGGAAACCCCCCACGAACTAGAAAGAAATGAAGAATTATCTTACATTAAGAAATTTGCCTTCAGAGGAGCAGGACTAGTGAGAAACCCTTTTACAAAATTTCCCAGGATGGCACTAGATCCGTTAATTACCTAATCCTCACATGCCTTATTAGCCCTCTTACAACCCTTCATGTGCCTCTATTTCCCATATCCTAAAGGCCTTAGAATTGGGGCTACAATCTTTTGGTCCCAATGAGATCCACATGTGGCATATTGTGCTGCAAATCTCTGCAGCATATTTACACTCATTATGAACATTAATTACAAGGGGACCCCTGGGAGCTTAATGCCCATTCCAAAGTCATGAGTGAAGCTAAGCAGAGTTTACAATCTAGGAAGCACAGCAAGGCGAATCCAGATTCCATGGAGTCAAGAAGGAGAGAGACAGACATAGAAACAAGTAGAGGGGCAAGGATGACTAAGAAAGGAGGAGGCCTGAGCGCAAGAAAAAAGGCAGATGCCCACGTCAGTTTGCACATGTGGGGCACAAGGTTAGAGCTACACATTAGCCAGCAGCCCCTGAAATCTTCTCTAAGGTCAGAATTGGTCTGAAGAGACTGGCATGAGGCTGTCTGCAGGTGGGGTTTGAACAACCTTAGCTGAAGGCACAATAGAGTTTAAGGCTGGAATCAAGAAAGAGCTATACTAGGAAATAATTAACCTATAAAGATATTTTAAAATAATATTCATTCATTCATTCATGAATGCACATACTATGCCAAGTTCTATACTCAGTAACTGTTGCTAACAATTATTGTGTATTTGTAACATGTCAGATAACTGTTCTAAACACTTTACATGTATTTATACTTTGATTTTCATAACACATAAGAAATATTATCCCCATTTTATGGATGAGGAAAGTGCAGCATAGAAAAGCTAATATATAGTTTGGTCAGGAATCCATCTAGCAAGTGTCCAAGTACCCAAGTGTCTTTGGAACTCAGGTTCCAAATCCAGATGGCCTACACTAATTAGTACACACTAATGAACACCATTTTATTCTGCCTCAACTCAATATTAAGAAGTAAATGGAGGCTGGGTGCAGTGGCTCACCCCTGTAGTCCCAACACTTTGGGAGGCTGAGGTGGGCAGATTGCCTGAGTTCAGGAGTTTGAGACCAGCCTGGGCAACATGGTGAAACCCCACTTCTACAAAAAATAGAAAAATTAGCTAGGCAAGGTGGCACGTGCATGTAGTCCCAGGTACTTGGGGGGCTAAGGTAGGAGGATCGCTTGAGCCTGGGAGGTTGAGTCTGTAGTGAGCCAAGATTGCACCACTGCATTCTAGCCTGAGTGACAGAGCAACACCCTGTCTCAAAAAAAAAAAAAAAAAGAGAGAGAGAGAAATAAAAAAGTAAATGGAGCATAATCTGAGCCATAAAGGATTCTTGATCTAGAAGATTTAGTTATCAATAACTATACAACATGAGCCTAGCACAGAGGTCTGAATGATGCTATATTCTATTGTTTATGTCTAAGGGGTGTTGCTCTTTCTTTACCTTCATGATCAGGTTTTCTTTCTCTACCAGTATTCTTACTGGCATAAAACTATACTAAAAAATCTCCCAATTTAAAATAAAATCTTTTAATCCTATGTTTTCTTATAGTTGCTGACCATGTTTTTCTGCTTCCTTTTATAAAAACAAAACAAGGCCAGGCATGGTGGCTCATGCCTGTAATCCCAGCACTTTGGGAGGCCGAGGTGGGTGGATCACCTGAGGTCAGGAGTTCAAAACCAGCCTGGCCAAAATGGTGAAACCCTGTCTCTACTAAAAATACAAAAAGTAGCCAGGCGTGGTGGCACACACCTGTAGTCCCAGTTACTTGGGAGGCTGAGGCACGAGCATCACTTGAACTCGGGAGGCTGAGGTTGCAGTGAGCCAAGATTGTGCCCCTGCACTCCAGCCTGGGTGACAGAGTGAGACTCTGTCTCAAACAAATAAACAAAAACAAAACAAAACAAAACAAAATAGAACAAACAAAAAAGTAAAAACAAACAACAGCCTGGGAAAGGTTGCCTTTATTCTCTCATTTCCTATTCCCTTTTAAATCCATTTTAATCAAGTTACTCGCTCTACCATGCTTAAGAAACAGCACTTGTTGAGGTCACCAAAGATTACCATGTTTCCAATTCCAGTGGTCAATTTTTAGTCCTCCTCTGTATTTCCTCTATAGCATTTGACATAGCAGATCATTCTTTCCTTCTCAAAATACTTTATTTCTTGTCTTGGTAGGAACTACATTCCACTAATTTCCCTCCTACCTCATTGGATACTCTGTTTTAGTCTTCTCTGCTAAAACGTCCCAGAATTCAGACCTCAGACGTCTTCTCTACTCTTTTGACACTTTTACTATGTCTTCTTAATGTTTCTCATGGTGGAAGTACTTGCCACATTTCATCAATCTCAGACACAAATGGTTTCACCTTTTTACATCTCTGAATCAGGATGCGTCCAAAAATAGTTGTCATCCAGGCAGTGGTCTTGATTTAGTTTTCTTTGAATGCATTGCAAGAACTTGGTCATTGTTGTTAATATTATCTTAACTTCAGTAGAGATTTATGGATAAATGGTACTATACATGTTGGTTTTAATGGTGTTTAAAATAAATTTAAAAACTAATACTGTGATTTGGTATTTAAAGATTATTATTGTGTGGCCAGGCACGGTGGCTCATACCTATAATCCCAGCACTTTGGGAGGCTGAGAAAGGCGGATCTCGAGGTCAGGTGTTCGAGACCAGCCTGGCCAATATGGTGAAACCCCATCTCTACTAAAATACAAAAATTAGCTGGGCATGGTGGTGCATGCCTGTAGTCCCAGATACTTGGGAGGCTGAGACAGGAGAATTGCTTGAACCCGGGAAGCGGAGGTTGCAATGAGCGAAGATCATGCCACCGTACTCCAGCCTGGGTGACAGAGTGAGACTCCATTCCCCCCCACCGAAAAAATTATTATTATGTATGCAGAAAACATGGAAACAGGAAATATGAAGGAATATGGAATGATGAAATTTAATTTTTTATTCCAAAACAACAATCAAGTGCTTTAAGCATCCAAAGAAAAAAAGATATCATCAAAAGAGGCTTTTTTATATTTTGTTACTAAGATATATGCAAAACAATTACCTACCACATGCTTATTGATGTAAAAAGAGGCAGGAGAATTTGTCGAATATGGTAGAAAAAATAACCAAATCAATGTATAGATATGACCAATTAATGTACCATGAAAAACCATTAAGGCACAATTAAACCATACTTTAATTGGCAGTTTTTTTTCCCTTAAGGCTATATCTTAGAATCAATGGTGACCTTGATTTGATGAAACATGACATATACTGGTGAGTCCTGTATTTAAAATCTCAAAAATTAACCTTCTCCTGTGCTTTGGTTGTATACATTTAGCTCTCTTCTCAGTATATTCACTTGGATGTCTGCTAAACATCTTTTTATTGTATTTATTTATTTATTTATTTTTTTGAGTCAGAGTCTCACTCTGTCGCCCAGGCTGGAGTGCAATGGCGTGATCTTGGCTCACTGCAACCTCCGCCTCCCAGGTTCAAGCGATTCTCCTGCCTTAGCCTCCTGAGTAGCTGGGATTACAGGTGCACGCCACCATGCTCAGCTAATTTTTGTATTTTTAGTAGAGACGGGGTTTCACCATATCAGACTGGTCTCGAACTCCTGACCTCGTGATCTGCCCACCTCGGCCTCCCAAAGTGCTGGGATTACAGGCTTGAGCCACTGTGCCCAGCCTGGTAAACATCTTAAAATTAAGCTGTCCATAGAGTATACTGGATTCCTAGTTTTCAATCCCACCCACTTCCTCTCAATATTAAAAAAATTACATCACCACTCATGAGTTGCTCAGGCCAAGCATCTAGATGTTATCATCCTTGATTCCTCCCTTCCTGCTATACTACATTTTCAATCCATCAAAAATGCTGTCATTTAACTTAAACTCTACCACTTAATACCATCTCTACTGCTACCACCCAGGTCTGAACTGTCACCATTTCTTGTTTCTATTTTTGTTTCACATTGTAGTACCCAGAGTGATCTTCTGAATACATAATTGAGGTCATGGTGCTGTCTTGCTCAGCACCCTGAGAAATAAAATAGCCAAAATAATAGCAATAAAAACAACTTAATAGATGGACTCAATAGCAGAATTGAAAGGACAGAGGAAAAAAATGAACTTGAAGATAAAATAGTAGAAATTATCATTATCCTATCTGAATATCAGAGAAAATACACTGAAAGAAAATAGTGAATAAATTTTCAGGGAACTGTGGGACTGTAACAAATGCTCTAACTTTGGTATCAGAATCCTGAAAAGAGAAGAGAAACTTAGCAGAGCTGAAAAATTAGTAGGAGACTAGAAGAAATAATGACTGAATGCTTCACAAATTTGGCAAAACAACAATGACAGATTCAAGAAGCAGGCTGAACTCCAAACAAGATAAACTGAAAAGTAGTCTAACCCAGATATATGATAGTCAAACTTCTGAAAATCAAAGAAATAAAATATTGGAAGCAGCAAGAGAGAAGTGACACTTTACCTCTAAGGGAAAAGCAATTTGGATAATAGTGGATCTCTCATCAGAAACCATGGAGGTCAGAAAGAATTTGCACAATTTTCAAGTGCTAAAAGAAAAAAAAAAACCTGTGAAGTCAGAATTCTATATTCAGCAAAGATATCTTTCCAGAAGAAAGGGAAAATCAAAATATTCTCAGATGAAGGAAAACTAAGATAAAGTTTCACCAGTAGGCCTACCCTAAGAGAATGATAAAGGAAGTTTTCTAAATAGAAATAAAATGATAGAAGAAGGAATCTTAAAACATTAGGAAGAAAAAAAGAATAACAGAAAGAGTAAAAACATGGGCAAATACATTTTTCTTCCATTTAGTTTTCTAAATATTATTTAACAATTCAAGCAACAATTTAACAGTCTGAGGTAATTTTAAATATGTATAGAGGAACTATTTAAGACAATTATAATTGGGGGAAGATAAAAAAACATGAAGAGAAAGAAGATTTCTACACCTTATTTGCATTGGTAAAATGTCAACACCAGTAAATTGGGATAAGTTATTTGTATATAATACAGTACCTGGAGCAGCCACTAAAAAAGCTAAAAATTAGACAAACTAAAAGACACTATAGAGAAATCCAAATTTAATTCTAAAAAATGTTCATGTAACACAGAGAAAGGCAGAAAAAGAAAAAGAGGCAAAAGGCATACATATTAGAAAGGAAGAAATAAAACTGTCCCTATTTGCAGATAACATGATATCTACATCCCAATGAATCTATTTTTAAAATCCTAGAACTAATAATAAGGTCATAGAATACAAGGTAAACATAATAAAAATACAAATGTATAAACAAAACATATACAGGACTCATATGCTGTAAATTATTACTACTGATGAAAGACATCAAAATTTAAATACATGGCAAGACATACCATGTTCATGGGTTGGAAGATACAACATAGTAAAGATGTCAATTTTCCCCAAACTTATATACAGGTTTAACATAATTCCTATCAAAATTCTGGAAGAATGCTTTATAGATATAGACAAGATTATTCTAAAATGTAAATGGAAGGATAAAAACAGACACAAAGAAAAAAACAAAAAAAGAAACTAAAAAATTTTGTAAATGAAAACTAAGGCAAGATGAAACTGACTTCAGGTTAAAGTAAGCAAGAGAGTATGACAGAGGTATAGGTGCATAAATCAATGGAACAGAATAGAAAACTCCAAAATAGACAAATGTAACCAACAAACTTTTGACAAAGTGCAAAAGCAATTTAATGGTAGAAGATAGTCCTTTCAACAAATAGTGCTGGGAAATTGGATATACACAAAAAATGACCTTGACCTGAACCTCACACCTTTTACAAAAATTAGCTCAATATATCACAGACTTAAAAGTGGTTATAAGACTATAAAACTTTCAGAAATAAATATAGGAGAAAATATTTGAGATCTAGAGCTAGGCAAAAATATTTTAGACTTAACACCAAACCACAGTTTACAAAAGAAAAAAAAACTATACTTCTTCAAAATTACAAACTTTTACTCTGCAGAAGATACTTTTAAGAGGATGAAAAGAGGAGGTATAGATGGGAAGAAAATATTTCCAAAGCATATAGCCATCAAAAGGCTAATACCTAGTATGTAGAAAATACTCTCAAAACTCAACAGTAAAAAAAAAAAAAAAAAAAAAAAAAAAAAACCCAAATAATCCAGTTAGAAAATGGGTAAAAGACATGAAGACATTTCACTGAAAAGAATGTATGGATGGCAAATAAGCACATAAAAAGATGTTCATTATCACTATGCATTAGGGAAATGCAAATTAAAACCACAATGAGATATTGCAACACAAAAATCAAAATGGCAAGATTAAAAAATAGTGACAGTGAGGAGATAGAGAGACTGGATCACTCACACATTGCTGGTGGGAGTGTAAAATGGCACAGCCACTCTGAAAAAAAGTTTGTCAGTTTCTTTAAAAATTAAACATGTAATTTCCATATATCCCAGCAATTAGTTGACTTATTTCATAGAAATGAAAACATATATTCACATAAAAACCTGTACAGGGATGTTTATAGTAGCCTCATTCATAAGATCACAAGACTGGAAACAATCCAGATGTCTCTTGACAAATGAATAATTAAACAAACTGTGGTACATCCATTCATACCATAGACTACTACTCAGCAATAAAAAGGAACAAATTACAAAATATTGTATATGGAGCAAATTGAATAAGTCTCCAAAGAATTATACTTAGTGGAGAAAACCAATTTCAGAAGATTGTCTATTTTATGATTTCACTTACATAACAACCTTGAAATAACACATTTTGGAAATGGAGAACACATTAGTGGTTGCCAGAATAAAAGACGAGGAATTAGGGAGGAGGGAAGACAAGGGAGGTGAGAGAAAAGCAGGAGTAGGTATAAAAGGGCAACGTGAGGGATCACTGTGATGATGAAAATGTTTTGTCTCTTGATCCTATCGATATCATCACTGTGATATTGTACTATAGTATCACAAGATGTTACCACTGAAGGAAGCTGAGTAAAGGATACATAGGATGTCTCTTTATTATTTCTTAAAAATGCAAGTGAATCTTCAATTATCTAAAAAAATTAAAAAGATAATTGTCTTTTTCGAAAAGGCACATTAGTGGAAACTTTAATAATTTGAATAAGATCTATATTTAGTTAAGAGTAGTGTATCAATGTTAGTTGTTAGTTTTGACAAATGTACTATAATTGTGTGAGATGTTAACATTAGGAGAAATTGGTAAAGTATATGTGAGAAATCTGTTTCATTGCAACTTTCTTGCAAATCTAAAGTTATTCCAAAATAAAAAGTTTATTTTTTAAAAAAGATAATTTACTATTTAAAGCAAAAACACCAATAATATATTGTAGAGTTTATAGCATATATAAAAGTAAAATATATGACAACTATACAGCAAAGTATAGAAGGAAGAAATGATGCATTCATTTGTAAGGTTCATACATTATGCAAGAAGCAGTATAATATTTTTTGAAGGTCGACTATAGTATATAAAAAGTAAACACTGTAAACCCTACAGCAACCACTGAAACAAAAGGTTTTAGCTAATAAGCCAATAATAAAGATGAAAATGAAAGAAAAACAAAAAAAGAAACTAACAAACAATTTTGTAGATGAAGATCTAAAAGCAGATAGAAAACAACAAAAAATGGATACAGCTCAACTAGAAAACAAATCATAAGATAGTAGATTTAATGGTTAACCATATGAATAATTACATTAAATGTAAATTGTCTAAGGTCAAATTGAAAGGCAGAAATTGTTAACACATAATGAAGTGCTATGTGTAAGACCCTCATTTTAAACAGAAAAATATAAAAAAATTTAAAGTAAAATAATAGAAAAAAAAACTATACATTGAAGACATTCAACATTCAAAAATTAAAAGATAAGTATTTGTCATATACATAAAAATTAGTGACCAGAATATATAAAACACTCCTTTAAAGAGTAAGATAAAGACAATTGAAGAAAAAGATAGAATATATATTTAAACAGACACATAAGAGCAGAAACATGAATGTCTCGTAAACACATGAAAAGTTTGAGTTCAATTTCATTTGGAATAAAGGAAATATAAATTAGAACCAGAAGGTGTAAATTAAAGCCAGAATATGAAGAATGCAAATTATCATTCAGTGATGGTGACTATAAAATTGGCACTGTGGAAGGCAGTCTGGCATTATCAGCATAATCAAGGATAGGAATGCTTTATAACCCAGTGAATCCACTTCTAGACAATTTCCTGCATTATGTTCTCATGTAGATATGTACACAAATGCTTATTCCAGCATTGTTTTCAACAGAAAAATTGAAAACAGCTTGAATATTATCAAGAAAAAAGGGATAACTATAGTTTAGTCATACAATGGAATACCAGGCAGATAATAAATTTGATGTGTCTATAGCAATAGGAATTAACTTAAAAATATGTTAAATGAAAAAAAGCAAGTTGTTTACAAATACATTTTATATGTAAACTGTAGTTACAAATGCAATTTATATGCATTTAAATTATACAAAGCAATATCTATCGATTACAGATATATCAATATGTAGTAAAAATATGAAAGTATGCTAATGAGATGTCACCAAATCCAGAATAGCAATCACTCATGATGAGAGGGAAGATAAGTGAGAATGAAGAGGAAGAGAAGGAGGGTGGGAAGACTTTAGTTACACTGTAGCTTTAAATTTTTTTGAAAATAAGAAATGTGAAATGACTAGGCTAGCGTTTGACAAATTTTGATATTGTGTTTATTGGGTTTATTTTATTATTTTTGTATTTTTTGTCCATTCCAAATGTTTTCTTTCTTTCTTCTCTTTTCTTTTTCTTTTTTTTTTTTTTTTTTTTTTTTTTTGAGATGGAGTCTCACTCTGTTGCCAGGCTGGAGTGCAGTGGCATGATCTCGGCTCACTGCAACCTCCACCTCCCGGGTTCAAGCAATTCCCCCACCTCAGCCTCCCAAGTAGCTGGGACTACAGGTGCGTGCCACCACGCCTGGCTAATTTTTTGCATTTTAGTAGGGACGGGGTTTCACCATGTTGACCAAGATGGTCTCAATGTCCTGATCTCGTGATCCGCCCGCCTCGGCCTTGCAAAATGCTGGGATTACAGGCGTGAGCCACCACGCCTGGCCCAAAATTTTTTCTTAATTAAATAAACAAAATTCCAAACTGAGGAGGTCCTTTAAATATCTACCCAGCCTGGTTTGGCTGAAGTTTTGGTTAAAGGTTATGGAAGTGCTCTATGGTTTCCAGTGAGTTGAGGGTTGGACCTTTGTCCTAGAATTCGGTGTTGGAGGTAACGGCTGCTGTTGCTTGTTTCTGGGTTCCTTAAGTCCGCACTAGGCTGCCTTAGCCATACCCACACCTCTGTAAACAATCTCTACATTAAATTCCCTTTGGCTGAACCATCTGAGTGAAATCTGATTTCTTGCCATGACTCCACCTGCTTTCTCTGTGAGCGTGTTAAGAAAGAGGCCTTAATATTTTCATATACTTTACAGAACATAGGGTAGAATCACTAGAAAATTCTGCCCTTAGGAAAGCCAGGCTCAGAAAAGAGCTTCTCTTCCCACATTGTACACCTGACTTTGGAGAGAGTCATTTTTTCACATCTCAAAAAGCCAGAAAAGAGTAGCAAATCAGAGCTGACTTCTCAGCCAGCTTCCAGGGATAGAATCCCAACACTGCCATTTATGAATTGAAATGTTGGGGGAAATTACCTAACTTCCCTTTTCCTCAGTTTCCTCATCTAGAAAATGGGGCTGTAACACTGACCTTAGTGTGAAGATTAAAGCACACATTCCATGTGCAAAGTGCTCTCTGAATAGCCTGACTTCCAAGCAGTTGCTAGCCCCAGATCAATCCTGTGGCTCGTAGTCTCTCTTCTCTTTCTTCTCTTACTGGCTGCTTTGTCTCTAATCAGCCTGATTGTCTGCTTCCTTTATACAGAATCTCCTAAAGGAGCCAGTGTTGTAATAATAACAACAAACAAGTTAGGAAGAATTGCCCTCCCATCTCTCTTGTAAATGTCGACAGGTTCCATCGTTATATTACAATCCCAATTAAAGAGAAATTCCCCACCAAGCCATAAACCTAAAATGAAAAAAATCCTATAGGGATGAATAAGCCTCTTCAGTGAACAAACCTGCTATTTATCCTTTTTTTTTGTCATTGCTTATGTGTGCTCAAATCCCTGCTGAACAAATCCTGCAAGCTGATGAAGAAGCAAAGCTAAGGGCATCCATCGGTGAGTCTGTCAAGACTTTACTTGTAATGAGTCTCCCATGGATTTGATTATTATTGGGTATTAATTATTAATGGTATTTCCTGCAGGAGGCCTGTGTGGGCTTCTTTTCCCCCAACCTCTATTTTGAACTGGAATTAAAAAATAACCAGAAATCTCCCCCAGTGGAGCAGGGAGAGGAAAAAGAGAAAGGAATCGAGGGAATCCCTCTGCTAGTCTTTCACCACTGGCACCACTTGAAATTCTGGGGCTGTTCTCATAATTAAGAGTAGGAAGCAGCTCTGTGCTTAGCCTCCTCCCGTCCTCCAGCTGTAACCCCTCTGTCAAAACCACAAAGGAGAAACAAAGTGCCCTTCTGCCTGCCTCCTCTCCCCAGTCCTCACTCTCCAGTTCTAACCTTGTCTTCTTTGGCAATTAATTTCCTCTGATGGTTATGTTAATTTTCATGGCTTCCTAATGATTAGAAATATTTGGCAGATTAACATCATTTAACTTTCCTCTCCCTGGGGGTGGGGAAGAGACAGGGATGTAGCTAAATGGTGAGAAACAGCTGGAAAAGCCAAGGGTGAAAATCACAATTCTGTGCCAAACATTTTGATGGGTTGGTGAAAGATGGACACCCAGGAAAGCCTGGAGAAATTAAAGCCAGATTAAGAAATAATAATAAGGCTGAAAGATCAGAAACATAGCCCTGCCCCCACCCTGTGTGTGTTTATCCTTTATACACTGTTGACTGTCCATATGTTGCTTCCTAGCAATGTTTTAAAGACGGCTACACCTGTCAGGGTGTCTGGGAGGTAAAGACAGAGCAGATGTTGAGATTTGTGCCATGGAAGAGAAAAATTCATTTTGTCTAGCAAAAAGTGGCATGCTCCTGTGCGTCCTGAAGAGATCCCTCCACCATTGCCACTCTCCCCTTTTCCATAAAGCAATGGGCCCCGCATGGTGCCACAGATGGAAAGATGAAATTTAATTTTACTGGCGTTCAATCAAAACAGAATAATGTGTTTAATATCCCTGCAGTGTAAGTGAAAGGGAGAGATTTATGAACTCCTGGGAGGCAAGAGATTCCAAGCAGTGCTTTGATATCTCCTCGTATGTATAAACATAGAATTGCAGTGGAAAATATGGATAAATCCAGGTTAAGATCTCCGCCCCCTCCCCCATGTTGCTACTTTTAAGTTCAAGCCTTTCTGATAAAGGGGTGGCACTCTCACCAGGAGAAAAGCTGAATTAATACAAAGGTAGTCAGGCATCCTGAGCTTAATCTCAGATTTAATCCAAAGGGTGATTTGGCCACAAGTGTCAAGAGAAGAGATAGATGCTTCTGACTGGCAGATGTATTCAACAGGGAAGAGCCTCACAAAGGAAGTTACTAAAAACTCCACCTCAAGTTTCATTTGAAATCTAGTAGATGGTGGCCAGGCGCAGTGGCTCAGGCCTGTAATCCTAGCACTTTGAGAGGCCGAGGTGGGTGGATTGCCTGAGCTCAGGAGTTTGAGACCAGCCTGGGCAACATGGGTGAAACCCCATCTCTACTAAAATACAAAAAATTAGCTGGGAGTGGTGGCATGTGCCTGTAGTCCCAGGTACTCGGGAGGGTGAGGCAGGAGAATTGCTAGAACCTGGGAGGCAGAGGTGGCAGTGAGCCAAGATTGCACTACTGCACTCCAGCCTGGTGACAGAGCAAGACTACATCTCAAAAAAAAAAAAAAAAAAATCTAGTAGATGGTAATCATATGGCTATATGTTTGTTTATAAAATAGCAACAAATCACATACATATGGAAAACAAAAATCTGGAATTAGTATCTCAAAATGCTCTAAGAGGTTGAGTTAGGATAGTCAAATTATAGGTAATTTTATGACTTTTCTCTAAATTTTTTTTCTAATGCAATGATATTTTTATAATGGTGAATATATGTGCGTTGTGTGTGTATTTGTGTGCAAGATTTTCTATTTTTTGGTGTGCTTTAGAATCACCTAGGGAGCTCTTTAAAAATGTGGATGCATGAGCCCCACTTTAGACCTCCCGAAATAAGTAAACTAATCAACACAATACAATACGATATAAAACCCAGTCCTCCCCTAACCTAACCTAGTTCTCCCAGATCTGCTTACCTGGTGTGGAGTTGTCAGGCAAGCCATCTCACCTGGTCTGCATTATATTCATATTGGTCACTCAAAGCTTATTCCAAAAGAATACTCTGCTTTCTGTATAATTTTCCCAGAAAACATTTTACGGTCATGTCTATATCTGATTCTTTCTCATCAAAATATCTTTAAACTCTGTACTTTTCTCTTTGGGTTATGATTTTCAATATCCAAATAACAAAGCCCAGTGTCTGCCAGAATACCAACTTAATCCTGTCCCTTTCTCACAGATACATACACATGTCTACACTCACACCAGCAAGGAGGAGTCTACATATACATGGTTCCACTACTGTTAGGTAAATTCGGTTAATTTAGTGAAAAATCAAAAGTTAATCAAATTTGGGATTGATTGAATGAACCATTTGGGGAGATTTAAAAAACCCTTTATGTGGTATGTATCATTAATATTAGTCAAGAGAGTTGAATCAGGTAATACTGAGGATGCCAGTGTGAAGCTGCAGAGGCATCCTTCTTATTTGAGCTCTCTAGTGACAGAGCAAAGTCAAATAATATGGTTTTCTCATGTTAATTTTTTAGGTCCAGTTAACAGTAATTGTATCAAATTAAAGCAAAATCATTTTGGTTACAGTGTTACATCAGGTATGGTTGATTGTACACACACACACACACACACACACACACTGACACACACATAGAATACACATCAATTAGAGCTTTGGAGAGACTGTCACCACATTTGCATAAAGACGTGGTCATCCATAATAGTGTGTTTTTTAAAGATGTTGTCAATGGGATTGAATATGACCTCCCAGCTAACTGCACAGCACTACAAGAAAAATGCAAAGGTACTTTATTTTGTTTTTGTTTAACCGGGAGCTATTGATGCAAAGGAGCATTTCATTTCCTCCACTTTCTGTCTGTGCCACTAAATGACTGATGTTACCTTGAGTCAGCTGGCTCTTCTGCCAGGACTGAAAACTGTCCACTCTAGACCTGGATCGGCTCCCAGAGCTAGGGAACAGGGTTCCACAACTAATGAGATGCCAGCTTCTTCAAGGAGAGACCACCATTTGTTTGGTTGTGTGTAAAACAAACTCTTCGAACTTACATGTTGACCATTTTTCCCAGCCCAAGACTTTTCAGATAGACAGCTCTTGTTAATAATAATAACACCTTACTTGACTAGCCCTTTTCGCTTCCTGAGCACTTTGCACATCCACTATCTCACTTCATCTATTATTATTTTTTATTTTTTTATTTTTTTTGAGACTTAGTCTCGCTCCGTCACCCAGGCTGGAGTGCAGTGGTGCAATCTGAGCTCACTGCAACCTCCGCTTCCTGGGTTCAAGTGATTATCTTGCCTCAGCCTCCTGAGTAGCTGGGATTACAGGTGTATGCCACCACGCCCAGCTAATTTTTTGTATTTTTAGAAGAGACGGGGTTTCACCATGTTGTCAGGCTGGTCTCAAACTCCTGACTTCATAATCCGCCTGCCTCAGCTTCCCAAAGTGCTGGGATTACAGGTGTGAGCCACCATGCCTGGCCACTTCATCTATTATTGTGGGTTGTAATGAACAATGGTCTTTGCAACTTACATGTAATTCTGGGACATGCTGGTGATCTGGCCTTGGGGACTAGTAACTTCTCATAGATCTTGCAGGGTAGGAAAAGATTTCCTTGATTTTCTTAGGGTTTTTGGCTGGGTCTGAAAGGAAAGCTACAAAGACAAATTAACAGGGGAAAAACATATATATGTATTTAATATAAGTTTTACACCACACAGGAGGCTTCATAATGAAATGAAGCATTGAAGAAATGGTTAAAATTGTGTATTTTTATGCTAGATTTGATGGAGAGTAGACAGTCATGGGAAAATATAATTGACAGAGTATGATCTAATGGTAATAAACTGGGGAAACTTTGCCAGGCCTGTTGGTTCAGATGCTTCTCTGTGACACTTTACCTTCAAGGATAAGGTTGTCCCCTTCCTCCTGGTATAGGGAGGGCACCTCTCACAATGGGGTCTATGACCTGCTCGAGGAGAGAAGAGTGAGAAAAGGTTAAAGAGAACTTCCTGCTTCTGCAGTTTTCTTAATTTCCTGTAGCTTAAAATACTCAGTGTATTGGGCTGGGTGCAGTAGCTCACACTTGTAATCCTGGCACTTTGGGAGACCCAGGTGGGTGCATCACTTGAGGTCAGGAGTTTGAGACCAGCCTGGCCAACATGGTGAAACCCCGTCTCTACTAAAAATACAAAAAGTAGCCGGGTGTGGTGGTGCATGCCTATAATCCCAGCTACCTGGGAGGCTGAGGCAGGAGAATCTCTTGAAACTGGGAGACAGAGGTTGCAGTGAGCTGAGATTGCACCACTGCACTCCAGCCTGGGCAACACAGAGAGACTCCATGTCAAAAACAAAACAAAACAAAAAAACCTCAATGTATCAAGGTGCCACATTTGGGGGTAGTATGTATTGAGCTCTGTCACCATCAACTCAAGGCCCTCAGTGACAGAAAATAATCTTTTTTAAATTTTTCTGACATTCAGCTGAAATAACTTTCCCGTGAGTCTATCCTAAAAGTATGTCAGCCCATTGTTTCTTCAGTAGTTTGTGTAACACCCTGACCCTGTGATTCTTCAATCTTCAGAGCAGGACACACTTAGCCCTACTTGTAGTTTCAGCCTTATAGAAAATTCAGAAAAATCTTGCCCCAAGTAATGTTGAATGTCAAGTTTATGCACTCATTTACCTTTACTGAGTGCTTACAATGTGCGTGGTGCTTAACTTATATTATTTCATTTAATGTGTACAGCATCCCTTGAGTGGACGTAGCCATCTTCACTTTAGAGAAATGGGAACTGAGGTCCAAGGCTATGTAACTACAAGCAAAGAAACCAGGATTCAAACCCAGTTTTCTGTGAATCTGAAACCATTGTTCTTTTTCTTAAATTGCTTGCTGACTTTTCCTAGTAGGAGCTGCCTATGACAGCAGCATTACCTATCCTTCTAAGATCAAGCAGAGAGCTCCTTTAGTCCTTTGGCTAATGGTAACCATATCTTACTTGTCATTCTGCCAAGCCCATAAATCATATGTTGTCATACAGGGTGTGTGTCTGTGCCCCCTACTACATTGTGTACTTTTTGTGGGCAGCTGCAATATCTCACTTATCCTTGGAGCTCCAGAACCCAGCAATGTCCCTGGAACATAGTAACTACTCAATAAGTGCTAATTGAATAGATGAACCAATGAGTAATTACACCCACCGTAGGCCTGTGAAGGATGAAGTTTTGAAATGTTTCCTTGAAAAGTAGATGTTCACTTGTATAAAGCCATCTGGATCCTAAATTCTCTTAGTATGATACCCCTCAACCTCATTAACCATACCTTTCCAGCTTCCCTAGTCCAGCGATAAACTTAGCACTCCATACAGAGACCCATACCTGGGACTCTCTGAAAATGATGGAAAATTGTTCCATATTTTCTCCTTCGTGTGGCCTCAGAAGCATGCTTCCTCTGGGAGCACATTTAGCAAACCTCTGACAGCTGCTTCCAAGATCCCTAAGTTTCTAAAGCATGTGACAGCTTCCTCTGACCCACTGAAGCTGTCTTGTGATAAATCCTCAATATTCCTTAAACTATCTCTGGTGAAAAAGAAAAGAGTTTTTCTCCCAATTTGTCATAAACTGATACTTATGGAAAATAAAACATCACACACTTGGATGTCATGACAATGTCAAACTGATATAACAAGTTTCTAGATCCTTTCTCTCAATTTCTTTACTTAACTCCTTTTTGATTAATAACTGTATGTGGATTGATACTGGTCCATAGGCCACACTTGAAGGAACACCAGCATAAATCACCAAATTCTGATTTTTCTCTCTAGAGTAGTGTCTAATAGAAATGGAATGCAAGTCACATATAAGATTTTAAATGTTCTAGTAGCTGCATTAATAAAGGTAAGAAGAAACAGGAGATATTAATTCAAATACTATGTTTAGCCCAATATGTCCAAAATATTATTTCAATATGCAATCAATATAAAAATAATAAGGTATTTTACAATTATTTTATTTTGTAGTAAGTCTTTGAAATCTGGTGTGTGTATTGCTACCTAAAGCACAGCTCCATTTGGATAAGTCACAACAGCACATATTGCTAGTGACTACCATATTGAGCAATGTAGCTCTAGAGTCGTCACTGCTACCATATTTACTGGCTCAAATCCCTTTGAGGTTTCACCATTGCTCTATAGAAAGTTCCTTAGTTACTTCTAAGCTTCAGAAACATTCTGACTTACCAAGACTCCTGCATTCAGTTTCAAGCAATCTTCTATAATTAAACACTTTAGTTCTAGTAAAGAAAAGATAGAAACATTAAAGGCAACAATTGGTAAAAGGAAACATACTCTTACCCACAAGAACTCAGATATATAATTCAGCAAACCATTTTGAACCTCTACAAGGTGTCAGGCATGGGTGCTAGGTGGATGATCAGCCAGTATCTGTATATTGTCTTTATTTTGTACAGTTGGAACCATCCCATTCTTAAATTCTAAAGACCCTAGGGATTCCTTCTAGAAGAAGAAAAGAAAAAAAAATCCATTGCTGTGTAGGCTACCCTTAGTTCAGCCCTGAGCCAGTATCGCTCCTGGCCTTACTTTGAATTCCCAGGTCTGCATTGACTGGATTTCATTATTCTTCTGCAATGATATAATCTCTGCCTGGAGAATGGATTGTTGCTCTAGGAGCTGTCTTCTTTTGGTGCTTACTACCAAACCATCTAGATGTTGGTCTTTTTTCTTTATGGGACCTCTATGTTTTACTGTAATTGTTCCTCTTTAAGAATCATCCTGAATATTGAACTTAGTTGTGAACTTGGCTCGGGACATTCGTGACCTATCCACTTCCTTACCTGAAGAATAGCTCCCAAGTTTCATTCAAACTATTTGGACTTAAAATGCCATCTACTCCTTCGTAAAATCCTCATATTCCCTTGTGGCTTTGCCTTATATGTGCTATATGTACGTAGGTTGACCCACCTTCCTATTGCTCAGTCCCCAGTTCTAACTGTTATTATCATTAAGAAATATCTAAAGTCATAGAAAGCTAATATAGGTAGAATGACTTATGGTTTAGTACTGACATTTAGATTCAGAAACCATGTTAAAGAAATCAATTAGCTATAGAAAGATAACTTTGCTCCAAGTTCGTTTCCCATTTGCAGCACAGAAGCAGTGGCTGGTTAGCATCTGGGTGTCCTCGAGACATACTGAACATTTCATTCATCATACATGACATTTGCATATTGCAAATATCATACTTTATGCACATGCCTTCCAGGCTAGTCTAGGGACTATGATTGCTGCCTAATCCTCACATAAATCAATGCATCGGGGAATGCCACTTCTAAACATGAGGAAAATCAAGGATAGCTCTGCCTTTAGACTCTTCCTGGGACCATCTCATTCTCTTCACATCCCAAGTAGATTCAGCGCCTTCATTTTCTCTTCTTTCTTGTAGCTATTAAAATTCTATTAGCCATTTGTGAATATTATTTTATGCCATCTGCATTTTCTCTAAGTTGTGATAGTGACAGCTGCAATCATTTGTATGCATTTTCTGTGCAGGATTTTGTGTGTATGAAGGAAAAAAACCTTTCCTTTGTATGACCATGTATACAAATAGAAAGATGGTTTGTTTGTAAATCTATTTCTCTTCCAAACATTAGTTTATTTGCTGAGAAGACAGAAAGAGAAGATGTTAAAAGAGGAAAGGCAAAAACATTTGATCTCAAATAACAAAGTGTATGTTTGCTTTTTCTCAGCTCTTGGTTTGCTGCCTCTCAATCAAAGTTGACCTTATAAGTACTGTTAGACTGTGTTTCCTGTTTTTAATCTGAAGGCCTTCAGGGTATTTTCCTCATTCCACTACCACTCTAAAATCTTTCTCCTTCCCCCATGTCTCAGTTAGCAGAAAAATTCATGTAGCCAGGCTCCTCCCTTCTTTCCTGCACAAGAATGAATCTGGTTCTTCTTTAAGGAAAGTGTAAGCTCGTGGGGAAAGCCAGTGAAACAAGTCTACAGTTTATCACACTGGAAAGTCACCTGCTTGTTAAAGCCACCTTCTAGGGTGGGCATGACGACAAGGAAGCAGAACATGCCCCTTTTAGAGTACCACCTTACACAGCATATGAGAATTAAATACATGAAGACTCCAATCAGGATTAATCTGAGCTACTCATGAAAGCTTTAAGTGTTCCAAGGAAGTTGAGTCAGAGGATTTTTAGCTGCAACTTGATTCAGCTAACCAGTTCCCTCGTGCCACACAAGGAACCAGGACCCTCCAGGCCATGCCTTTGGGAGGTGCCCCACATGGATAAACCCTTTTCTCTAACTGCCAACCCTTCCCAGTCCTACTTGTTTTCTTCTAATAAACCCTTCTAGAAGCTTTTGCTAATATCCACTGACTGTAGTCTTCACCCTGATGTTAATGGTAGGAGGTGGGATTGTTTTCTTCCTGGGGTTTTTCTGGTCTCAAAACGGAAGGATGTGAGTGAGTTTTTTTTTCTCATGGGACATATGAGAAAGATAGTGTTTCTTTCAACCTAAGCTTGGTCCTCCACCAGAAATTGCTCTTGCTAGATTTCTTCAGAATAAGGCAACACTCTCACCACATGAATATAAATTTTCTTCTAAAGACTCACAGTCTAGTCTCACATAGATGCATGCATTCCTTCTATTGAAATAATATTGCTCTATGTAAAATTATAATCCCATCTATATTTTTCCAAAGTAGCATATTGCTTCTTTCTTAGATTTATTATCCTTATATGGTTTCTATTATAGCTCAGAATGCCTCTGTCTAAGCCATCTTTGATGGTTGGTACTATCCCAAATAGTTGCTCTCTGCCTCAAATTTCTTCTCTGACTTGGGATGCAGGTGGATGATATGCTATCAGTTAATCCTGCTGCCTCTTTATTGGTAGTAATTGTGAAAGACAGAAGTGGAGGTTGGGAAAAGAGAAGGGAAATACAACGAAGATTGTTTTTTTAAATAAAAGAAGTAATAATTTTACAGTGCCTTGAGGCAGATAAAGAAAATTGAGTCAAATCATATCAGAAACTGGAGCCTGTACCCTTGTCTGGTAAAAAGCAAGAGGCTGTCTATAATTGAAGGGATGTTGCGGCCAGGTTATAGTGCTTTGATGGGTACTAATACATTCTGACATAGAGTTATCTTCTGAGGAGTTAAAGCCATATATATTCCTGTGCACTGGAAAGAGAATGGGAGTAAAGAATACATCCAGCATGCATGGAGGTTCTCCCAGCTTCACTAAGATAAATTAGATCACATAAGTCATCTGAGGCTTTTCCTACAGAAATAGGCCAGACAGTCAATCACTCCTTGTCTGTGACTACATTTGGGAGTTAGAAACTAACAACCATTAGTGTGCCATCCTTTGGCTTAGGCAAAAAGATAGCAAACTTCCATGTGAAACCAACCCCAAAATCTCACAGACTGGTTCTTTTTGATAAACATAGAAATTGACCTGTCTGGTCTTAAAGCTTGAAACTCATATTTGTTTTATCTGAGTTCCTTCCTCAGGAAAGGACCTTTGGGCCTCTCAAAGAAAGAATCAAAGAACTAAAACTCACCAGATCACCATATCCTGATAATGAGATGGGGACCCCTCATTCATCATGATTGCTTCCTTGCCCTCCCTGGTTCCTGTTTTCTTACATGTCGTTACATTTCTTCCCTGCTAATTAAAGCCCTAGTTTTAGTCAGTCGGGGAGATGGATTTGAGACTGAACTCCCATCTCCTTGTCTGCAGCACCTGAGAAAAGCCTTCTTCCTTGGCGATAACTTGTCATCACTGATTGGCTTCCTGTGCTGCAAGCAGCAGGACCTAGACTGAACCCCTAGTGTTTCAGTAACACATGCAAGGCTGGGGCTATGGTGAGACAAGGGAGATGCTTAGGGTGCATAACTGAAGGAGATCCTGTAAGAGTGAGTGAGTGAAATGGAGTATCTTCCTACTTTTTGCTTCCTAGGTATCTCACTTGCCTCACTTAAGTCTCAACTCTGCTTTTAAATATGGAAAAGAAATTTGCCCCATGGGCCAGGGACGCCTGTTAGCATCGATATAACCAAATGGATGTAACCTGTAAGTTTTATTTAGTTAACCCCTGGATTTGCCAATTAAGCTTCAGTTCCCTTTTTTAAAATATGAAATTGCTAATTTTATATGTTGGCATTAATTATGTAACACTTTAAGGTAGTAAGGCTTATATGTACTTGCCTCTGTGTAAAGGGACAATCAAACCTTGAGAAGAGGGACAGTGGAGGAAATGAATATTGAGCATCTACTAAGCAAGGCACCGTTATTAGTTGACTGGTCTAGCTGTTATTGCCTATCCCTTTGTCCTTTGACAACTAAAAAGGCTAAAAAAAATCAAATAGTTTTCCAACCTCCTTTGCAGACAAAGGTTACAGTGTAAGAAGCAATCTGCTAGGATCTCCTGGTACATGGCTACCAGATTTAGCAGAAAAAACAGAACACCCTATTAAATTTGAATTTCAGATAAGCCATGAATATTTAGTATAAGTATTTCCCAAATATTGCTTACAAAATATGTATTCTAAAAATGCCTTCATTGTTTATCTAAAATTCAAATTTAACTGAATGCCCTGTCTTTTATCTGGTAATCCTATTCGTGAATATATGTTTGCATAGCATGTAGCTCACAGCATCCCCTCTTCTTTCTGTCTTTTTTTTTTTTTTTTTTTTGAGACAGAGTCTCCTTCTGTCACCAGGCTGGAGTGCAGTGGCACAATCTCGGATCACTGCAACCTCCGCCTCCCGGGTTCAAGTGATTCTCCTGCCTCAGCCTCCCAAGAAGCTGGGACTACAGGTGCGCACCACCACACCCACCTAATTTTTGTATTTTTAGTAGAGATGGGGTTTCACCATGTTGGCCAGCATGGTCTTGATCTCTTGGCCTTGTGATCCACCCACCTCAGCCTCCCAAAGTGCTGGGTTTACAGGTGTGAGCCACTGTGCCCAGCCTCTGTCTTATACAAGGATTGTGATAGTCAAAGTGATCTCAGAGTTGCTGACTGTGCACTCACACATCATGAAGCCTCTGACTAAATATAAACATCATCCAAACTCTGGAGTACTTGCTTTGTGACAAAAATAAACCCTTTATAAGTTTAAGTTATTGTTAATAGTGTTTTTTACTACTGGGATACAAAGGCATTCTTAACTGACACCTTTATTCTGTGCCAAACATGTACTTTCTTTTTTTTTTTTTTTTTTTGTCTCACTCTGTTGCCCAGGCTAGAGTGCAGTGGCATGATCTCGGCTCACTGCAAGCTCCACCTCCCGGGTTCATGCCATTCTCCTGCCTCAGCCTCCCGAGTAGCTGGGACTACAGGTGCCTGCCACCACGCCCAGCTAAGTTTTTTCGTTTTTTTTCAGTAGAGATGGGGTTTCACCGTGTTAGCCAGGATGGTCTTGATCTCCTGACCTTGTGATCCGCCCGCCTTGGCCTCCCAAAGTGCTGGGATTACATGTGTGAGCCACCGCGCCCGGCCCAAACATGTACTTTCCTATACCTTACCTCATTTAAATATTTTAACCACTTTATGACATGGATGTTATTGTGCCTGTTTTCAGATAAGAAGAATGAAAATTCAAAGAAGCTAAGTACCTTTCTCAATGCCTCATAAAACTAATGGTTAATGTTTATTGTGTACTTAGTAGGTTCTGACACAGGTGGATGTGTTTACATGTATGCAATCACCTAATCCTCCTAACAGCTGTTAGAAAAGTACTACAATATTTGACAATTCTATAGATGAAGAAACAAGAGATTGTGAAATTTACTCAGTACAATGGAGCTGGGCTTCAACTCATATACTGGGGTTTAGCACCCTGCATTTCTAACTACAGTGCATACTGGCCAGAGAAAGAGGTGACATTCACACTAAGGCATAGGGTGCTAATGCCAGGGCTCCTGCCACTGTGTCTGCCTGGTTCCTGACCTGGATAAATGAGGAAGTACTGTATTTCCCTTCTAGATTTCCAAAAACCTTATCTCTTTAACCCTGATTGCTAAGTCTCCCTTTACTAATTTTTCCCTGTAGGTTCTAGGTTGCCCTACAATCTGACACAAATTCTGGCTTTAGGAAGGTGGCGTGAGGCACCTTTCCTCAGTTGCTCATAGGGTTGGCAGCAGGTGGCTTCTGATGTGCCAAGAACCTAGTCATTGGGTTCTCCTTGTTCTCAAAAAAATAGGTTCATGTGCCAAACCACCAAATCATCTGGGGAGCTTGGTTCCCCAGAGGCAGTTTCTTGCCCTTCCCTCTATCTTCTTATTTTACCCAGTGCAGATTTCCAGCCTACTGGGAACATTGTGATTTGCTTCCCTCATTCTTGCTAAGAGAAATACTCTGGTGTTTCCTCCCTACTTATGTTTTCTTTCTGTGGCTCAAATTAATTACCTCCTTGGGGAACCTACTTTCTAGACTCCCATCTCTGCCTAACTTGCCAAAGATAACAGATTAATGGCTGCACTCCCATGTGTTGCCTCTGGCTTAAGCCTGACCTCTGGGTCTACTTGTATTCCCACATTACTTCTGTCGGCCTGTCCTGCCTGTAGTCAAATTCCTTTTATGACAAATGAACACTTACCTCCTAGACTGCTTAGAGCTTGTTTTACCCTGGAACAGAGCTTAGGGTTTGCCATACTGCCCTTGGACAGCCTAAGAGCAAACATTTTATTTCAGGGGTATAGAGATAGGTTGTTTTATTCCTAAAACAATCCCCAAATTCAAGGATGGGTAAGTTTGTGCATTCTGCATTCTAAATGAGAGAATTGTTTATTCCACCTTGTTTCTTGGGTCACCATTTATTGAAATAACAATGACCTCAATGTTTTGAAATAGAAAAAATTACTGCTTTGCACAAACAGTATTTAATTTTTCATTTCTAAGAGAAGAATGTTCAGAGTGAGAGGAATTAAAGCTCCTTAATCTCATCTTTTAAAATCATATCAAACCATTTACATATCCAGGCTCTTTTCAATTTCCGTCTGAGGTCATCTCTGCTTATCATTTTCTGTGCTCTCTATAGATAGAAGTTTACGGTCTTCCTTTTCATAATCAGGTGTGTGGTGCTCAAGTATGGACAGGGGAGTCTAAGGTGGGAAACTATTATCTCCTTTGTTCTTTAACTACTCTCTGTGTGCCCCTGTTTGTAAATATATAGAACCATGGAACACACAAGTCAAATTGAAGGCCTTTAGAAAATGCTTTCTTGATTTTATCTCATTTCCTAGCAAAGCAATTGGTAATACCATTTTAGAAGTAAATAAGGTTTGATTGCAGATGAAACATCTTTACCCAGGCACTATTTTCCCTTCCTAGAATACGTAAACGTTGACTTCCCTGGTTGTAACTGAACCCCTTCATCTAATCATAAAGTTTTTTTTATGCAATGTGCTAGCCCTGTGGATTTAAGCCTAAGCACTGAGGGAACTCAAGATGGGTATAGACTTTCTGAAATACATTTTCACAGAGAACTATAATCCATCTTCCAGAAGAGCCAGAGATTCCAAATTTCCTCCTTTATTATAAAGTCTCCAGATAAGACTATTATTCTAAAGAAAATCATAGTACTTTGTATATTGTTACCAATAAAGGGGTAAAGCTTACTAATTTTTAATTTCCTTAGCACTTTCTCTCTAAATGAGGAACAGATTGTGGAAGGAAAATTTTGATAATCATAGTTGGTTGCTAGCTGCTTTGTTAGCACAATCTATTCCTGAGATTTTATGAGATCTGGCTTACGAAGCACTGGTTGATAAATGATTCAATATTTAACCATGATTTACCTGTACCATGTGGAGGAAAATTATGCTGATGGAGCTGAAATCACTGGAACTGAGATTTTTACATCCCATAGAATATGTCAACATAGCGTTTAGTGTGAATCGCTCACTTGGGACATAAAGTGCTCCTCTTTTTAGGATCCAGGATTACATCTCAATATAAATGGCTGATGGAAGTAAACAAAATGAGCCCAGTGCACTGCCTGGTGACATGTGGTAATAAAGATCAGCAATGAGGGATGGAAAGGCTCCCTTGCCATCTCTAGATGTCAAAGAAGTAAATTTTAAACTCTGTGGGTGGTATCAGTCTGGAAAATAGAGGAACATTCAAGCCATATGGAAATCAATACAGCTTCATGAAAGGAAAGATGAAAACCAGTTTTGCCTCTTTAAAGGAATGACTACAGAGGGAGCATGGTACCTGGACTCCTCCCTGGGGCCTCACTTTCCTGTATATTTATTTGAACCTTTTCTTCATCTAAATCAATGTGATCCAATCTGTTACAATCTAGGAGATTTCAGTCTGAGACTTCCTGGAAAGGCAATACCAATGCAGAGTTGATTAAAATTAGTACAGAGAGTAAGCAGACTAACACAATATTTACAATATTCTATCTAGTATTCTAAAGAAAGCACATGAGCACAACCAAATATGGTAAAAGTTTTATATTGAGAATGGGGAGGGTGGTAGATCATCAGTTCCTCTTCTGGCAGATCAGGATTTTTTTTATTTTGCTGGAAAATAAGCTCTGTGTAGGCAGGATCACTGGCATACCTTTGTCCCTTCCACCACTTCTGACCCAAAGTAGGTTTTAAATATATATGTTTAAATAGAAAGATAGATGATGGATAGATAGATAGATAGATAGATAGATAGATAGATAGATAGATAGATAGATTTGGTCTGGCTTCTTAGGAAATTTCAGAAGCAGTATAAAATTTGGAAGAGAAATATCTTAAGGGGAAAAACAAGGTGAAATGGGAAATGGTAGCAATCTTACTATACGATAAGCTGGGAAAAAAGGTCAAGGGGTCTGATTTCCATTCCCATTATAGGAATCCTCAATCCCTGACTGTGCCTGGGCCACTATTCTGACTTAAGACCAAGATACTCTCCTGTGTCTCATTAACCTGATGCATCTATGGCCAAAAGCAAAATCTGGCATTGCTTTATTCATTTTTTATACATTCCCATCAAGTTAACCAGATTTGTAGTCACAGCCAATAAATACACCATACACTGGCCTTTCTCAAGGCCCGAGGCATTTTACTTGGTGTCCAGGCCAAGAATTAAAATAAAATGTCAAGCCCCTTAAACGAATTCTGGGTCTTGCAGTTAGGCTAGCAAATAACATTATTCTTGTAGAATCCAGCAAGTGCCAAGGTCCTTATCCTAAAAATCTGATGACTTTGGATTTAGATAAAGGTCTGAGTTTCCTAAAGGTGATATAAGCAATACCATCCAAGATGTTTTGCCGCTATTGTCTCTAGCTTATTTGAGACTATTTTTCTTAAACTTTACGAGATGGTAGACAGCTTGAAAATCATAGTATTCTTTGCATAACACATGAAATATGGATGTATTTAATTCCAGCATTTGAACTAGGAACAATTTTACTAGCAGAAAATGACTATATTATAGGTATGCAACGTGAAATCACAACACATGTGCATGCAAAAAACAAGCTCTTGAGAGAAGCACGATCTGTTGTTTCTGAGTTTTGCCATTAATATTCATTGGCTGCTTGTTCATTTGTTTTGTTGTCTGCCTCACAGACAAGCAGTAGAAAGCACCAAAGCTTTTAGAAAAATTTATGGGAGAAAAATTTAAAATTGAAAACATTCTATCCATTAAGTTATTATTTTCTCTAAATTGGCAAGACTGCCATTATTCAATTTCAGCAATGAAAATCCTTGGAACAGCATGTGGCACATCAATGATCTTTGGGAAAGTAGTTTGAGAATTAAAGATAGGAATTGGGATAATGTAGGTTAAAAATTTGAAACTCTGGGTCGAACTCACCTTGCTTGAGTCCTGGCTGTATCCATTACTAGCTGCGTGTATGCATGTCATTTAACCATTCTTTGCTAAACCTTTCTCCTCTGAGAAATGGTTATAATGGCAACATCTTAGAATTGTGTTAGTGCTAAGTGAGATTGTATATCATTGTGGACTTTGTGATTTTGAGCAAAAAAAATTTGGGCTAAATTAAGCAAAAATTAATTTGCTGGAAAGACATTAAGGCTCTATACAATCCAGGAGATACCCAAGAATCAGGCATGGAAATGGGACTGAAGCAAAGCAGTTCTGCAGGCCTAGAAGCACAAACATTTCCAATAGCTTTGTAACGTAACTCTAGTGTGATCATGCTCGATCAAATGGAATAGAACTCTACCACTGTTAGCCTCTTTGATTCTCTGATCGTGTTTGAAGTATCAGAGAGGGAACATCCAATTAGCCTAGATTGATTCATGAGGTCACTTCCTTATTAGGAGTAAGGGGCATCTCTGATTACAGTATCCCCATAAGACTATATTCAGTGAGGAAGAGGTATTCACATGAATAAAAATGGGTATTATTGGAAAGGAGAAATGAAAACCAAATATTCCAAAACATGCATGTCTTTTACAGATGAAGTATGTAGACTGCTTGATACCTAGTAGGTAGTCAGTATACTTTATTTAATTAATTTATTTATTTGACAGGGTCTTGCTCTGCCACCCAATATGGAGTGCAGTGGCAGGATCATGGCTCACTGCAGCTGCAACTTCCTGAGCTCAAGCAATCCTCCCACCTCGGCCTTCAGAGCAGCTGGGCCACAGGCACATGCCACTACACCCGGCTAATTTTTGTATTTTTAGTAGAGATGGGGTTTTGCCATATTGCCCAGGCTGGTTTCAAATTCGTGGGTTCAAGCGATCCACCCACTTCAGCCTCCCAAAGTGCCAGGATTACAGGTGTGAACCACCATGCTGGTACTCAGTATATTTAGTCTCACCTTCTGACCTCATTTAAGGCAATCAGATGTTTCACACTAGGTGGAGCTGACTTTGAGTTCTAGGCATTAACTTGTAGTGTTTTGATATTAGCCTAGTAATTTTTAAGAGTCTCAGAAGTCCAGATCGCAGTCATTTTTCATTTCTTTGGAATGAGAACACATTATTCACTCACAAAGGAACTTTGGATAGCAACTCCTTCAACAAGGATGCAAGGGCTTCCAAAGATGCAGTTTCTCAAAACTAGGGTCCATAGAGTTAGCTGAGATAAAGTATCTCAGTCCAATTAACTTTTTTGATGGCATCCAAGGACCTATGGCTAGATACATCATTGTTTCCAAAATATTCTTGATGATCTACATTTGGGAACTTTTTAAAAGAAAATTAGTTATATGGCCACATTTTTGTTCACTAAATTATGCATCCTAGGATAGATCTTTTCAGAATAAGCATGGCCAAAAAAAACTTGTACCCTCTTTTATCTCTGCTGACTATAGACTAAATCTACAAATATCCAAAGGAGTTTGGCAAATTCAAACAATCATGATAATTTCACTGTCTCTCCTGGAGTGACTGGGAAAACTCATTTTGTGGGCATATTTTCATTGCTGACTGGACTTTAACAGTTTACTTTTATCCTCTGTTGCTTCTTGCTAAGCCTGGTTATTTTGTTTGGTAAACCATAGTTGAACTTCATTCTTATATATAAGTGCACCTTCAAAGGGAACTTCCTAACTGGACCCCTTTGAAACTCCAACAACCTATATTCTGTTGTCAACATTTTAAACTAGCTTAATCCCTCATTTTCTCCCACTTGTAATTCAGGTAACACCGTGGGAGGAATCCTTCTTGTAGTGAACTATACCTTTTTCCTATTTCACCTTTGTGACCAAATTCACTACATCACCTCTGGAGTTCTTCGTTAAAATTATCTGAACTCTACTGCATTTAGAATTGATTTGATCGGGGGCTTGGAGGCCATCGGAGCCACAGGATCCATATCACCAGTTTTCTTTTTCTTTTTTTCTCCTTAAATCAAAAAATGACTTTGGTTTGTCATGGCCTGACTCATCTATTCAGATGTTCGTTCCATTAACTCTTTTAATAGTCCCTTCTTCAGGGCTCTGATGAGATTAAAGTCATTTTCCCCCTAGAGGCTGGAGGGCTCCTGCCATTCCCCATAATTCACTGGCTCCAGCTAATGGGTGGGGGAGGAGGGGTGGAGGTTATTGCAAGGCTTGAGCCATGCTTTGCAGTGACTGTGGGGTTATTAAAGAGGTGAAATAGTGGGTGTTCTTTCCTTCCTCTTAGATCTTTCTTAAAATGCTGTAATATTTGTTGCTTCTTTCCCACTCTAGCCTGATTTAGGAAGCAGGTAAGAGTAACCCATATTGTGCTCTATGTAAGGAGTGCTGGGAAGGACCTAGTCTTTCTATATTTCTTTTCCATACCCTTGGCTGAGACCTAAGTTCTCACAATTAGTAATTATTTTTTTCAATGTAAGGTTTTGGACTTTCTAAAATTTTTAGTAGAATAGCATATTGAGTTGTACGAGCCATTTGCATCTCATAGGAAATTTATTTCATGCTTACTAGATAACAGAATTTGAGCCAAAAAGATGAGACGAGTCCAAGTATACTAGGTCTTTGAATTCATAAGAAAAGATGTGCCATAAAATTCTCAGAAGTTGATAGCATCAGTGATCAGTTTTTCCCTAACTTTATCATATTTAATACAAAGCTGGTAACCTGTATTCCCCATACCCAGATATTTTCTGTATTTCTCTAAGTCATGGATATCGATTTCCTATATCTTGGAATTAAGTATTTACCAATCACTTTCATCAAAGTATGTCTTATATCTTTTCCTTTTTGACATATCTGTTCACTCCATGTAATCTCCTTCTCTGTCACAATTGGGGGAGGCAATTACAAAGATTTCCATAAAAGAAGCATTAGGTGTACTGCCAGACCACAGATACCATCAGAAAGGAGGAGGACTAAACACTAAGTCAGATGACTCTGTTGTCAGCCATGATGTAGTTACTAGTACTGGGCTTCCCTCCCTGGAATTAAAAACAAAACAAAACAAAACAAAGAAACAAAAACAAAACAAAGCAAAAATTCTAGAAAACGATAAAATATATGAAACAGCTGTTTTCAAGCATTAGATGAAAAGCGATACAGAACTATGATCCCTGAGGGAAGAGAAACAAATTAGTTGAGCCCTACAGTTGTACTGGCTTTCTGCATAAAGGTAATTATTGGAGTACAGTGCAGAAATTGGAATACAAGAGGAGCACAGTATTCTTGCTGAGTTGAAGATAGAGTAGAGTTTAGTGAGGATGAGGAGTCTCACATTTCTTGGAGAGAGCTGCACAAAGAATTTTATAAACCAGCACTGGAGCTCTTTTGAGTTGGTTGCTGAATACTAAGTTGTGCACATATTGGGTAAGATTTCACAAGGGTGAACAAAGAGCAATCATGAAGAACAACTAACTTATAGCTATAAGCTGAACAATTCCCAGAGATACGACTAAGATGCATTCAAGTTCCAATCAGTCAGATTAGAAAGAACTGAGAAGGGTCACACTTTAACAGTAAGATAAAATAAATACAGAGTGAAAGCTACTCTAAACACACCTTAACAAAGCTGAAAGACTTGTTTAATGGGATTAAGATTATCCCATATATTTTAATTACTTGCCAAAACAAAACTCAACAGTATTTAAAGGAAGGCAACAAAATCTAGCATTCAAAAATATAATATTTATGATGTCAAACATCTAATAAAAATTGCCAGACATGCAAAAAAGATAGAAAATATGACCAATAGTAAAGAGAAAAATCAATTTGCAAAAGAAGATCCATAAATGACAAAAAGATAAAAAAACAGCTATTATAAACATAAAACAGCTATTATAAATATACTCAAGGATATAAAGAAAAAAAATTACTGCAAACCAATAATGAAGGAAAAGCTAAAAAGCACCCAAGGGAAAAAAGAAACAATAGGTACAGAAAAATAAACAAATAATGAACAGAAGACTTCCTATCAGAAATAATGGAAGCCAAAAGATAGTGCATAAATATCTTTAAAGTTCTGGAAAAAAAAAAAACAACAAAAAATAAAACCCCAGAAGTTAACCGCTTAAACTAGAAGTCTAAAATCAGTAAATACATCCTTCAAAAAATGATAATGGCAACCTAGATTGACACAAAGGAATGAGCAGTGCCCAAAATAGTAAATACAGGAGTAATTATATGTGCTTGTGTGCATGTATATTTATATGAATAATTATGTGTGTATATATACACACATATATTTATTTATTTTTAACTTTCTTAAAAGATAATTGCCTATTTAAAGCAAAATTAATAATGCATGTGGAGCTCATAACAGACACATGAGTAAAATCTATGACAATAATAGCACAAAGGAAAAATAAGGACAGAGAGTTACTCTTTAGTAATTTTTAAAATTTTATGCAGAAGCTGATATATTATTCAAATGTAACATAGATTGTGATAAGATAGTGATGTGTATTGTAAATCCTATAGCAACCACTATTTTAAGAGGTTATCAGTTAATAAAGAAGATAATAGGAAATACTAAAATACATTTTTAGAACCATAAAAGACAAGAAAAGAAGAAAAAAGAATAGAAAGGGTAGAATAAATAGAAACCAAATGTAAATCTGGCAGACTTAAATCAATAAATAACATTAAATTAAATATTCTAAGGGAAAGACAGAAATTGATAGATTGTATGGAAAAGCGAAACCTAATCCCACCTATAGAAAACTCCCTTTAAATAGAAAAGATTCCCTTTAAATATAAAAGTACAGATAGGGTAAAAGGAAAAAATGGAGAATGTATACCACGCAAACTAGAATCATGGGAAACTACAGGGGCTATGTGAATGAAGGCAAAGTAGATGTGAGAGCAAGAAATGTTATTGAAGACAAAAGGAAATATTTTACAATGATAAAAGAGTCAATTAAAGAGAAAAGTTGTATACTTCTAAATGTGGTTGGAAAACTTGACACTTGCATAATTATAATTGAAAATTTCTAAACCCCTCACTTGGCAATGGATAGACCAAGTAAAAAGAACATCTGCAATCCTATAAAAGATCTGAACACCATTATCGACTACCTTAACATAATTGAATCTTCTAGCATACTATACACAAAATGGATGCATATATATTCTTTTAAAGTACAGATAAACATTAAGATAGGGCATAATACAAGACAATAATAATAGTCTTAATAAATTTAAATAAATTGGAATAATTAGAAGTATATTCTCTGACCACAACATAGTTAAATTAAAAATAAATTTTAAAAAATTCTGGAAAATCCCCTAATATTTGGAAAGTAAAAATCTCAAAAGAACAAAGGAAATCTCAAAAAACCCATGTGTCAAAGAAGAAATCAGGAAGCAATTAGAAAATATTTTTGACCTAATAATAATACAATCATAATATATTACAATTTATGGGAAAGACTTAAACCACTGCTTCAAAAAACATATAAATGTTTATATTAGAAAAGAAATGTCTAATATCAATGATCTGCTGTGAAGCTAAAAAAAATGAACTAATTTCAAAGTCAGTATAAGGACAAAATAATAGTTGAAATAAATAAAGCAGGAATAAAATAACAGAAAACAATCAGTAGTGGCTCACGCCTGTAATCCCAACACTTTGGGAGGCCGATGCAGGCGGATCACCAGGTCAGGAGATCGAGACCATCCTGGCTAACATGGTGAAACCCCGTCTCTACTAAAAATACAAAAAAATTAGTCAGGCATGGTGGCGGGCACCCATAGTCCCAGCTGCTCGGGAGGCTGAGGCAGGAGAATGGTGTGAACCCAGGAGGTAGAGCTTGCAGTGAGCTGAGATTGTGCCACTGCACTCCAGCCTGGGCAACAGAGCAAGACTCCATCTCAAAAAAAAAAAAGAAAAAAAAGAAAAAGAAAAACAATCAGTACAGCTAAAAGCTGATTCTTTTAAAAGATAATAAAATTATTAAATGTGTTGCTAGAATAACCATGAAAAAAACATGAGAAAAGGCAAATCACCAATATTAAAATGAATGAGCATGTATAATCACTAGAGACTCTCCAAACATTAAAAAGACAATCAGGTGCATTGTTTTTTTCACTTAATAAATCCTAAGCATTTCCCTTTGAGAAAAAAAAATCTAAAATATTAGAACAATCTTTTTTCAATAAATTAAACAACTCAGTTGAAATGAAAAAACACCCTGGAAGACTCATATTATGAGAACTGATACAAGAAGAAATAGAACACCTGAAAAGCCCTACATCTACTTAAAAAATTGAATTCATAGTCAAAAATATGTTTACAAAGAACACACCAGGTCTAAATTGGTTAAATTTTATCAATTATATAAAATAGAAGTAATACCAATCCAGCACAAACAGTTCAGAAGACTTTACTGCTCAAGTATGAAGCCAACATTATTACTAAACCAAAGCCAGAAAAAGAGATTGCAAAAGAAAACACACTCCTTCCTAAACACAGCTGCAGATATTCTTAACAAAATGTAGCAAACTGATTCTACAAGATATAAAGAAGATTGTAAACCACAAAATGAAATTTATACTGGAAATGCAAGGTTGGTTTAACGTTTGAGGATCAATGTAATTTAACACATTAACAGAATGAAAGGTAACAATAGTGAATATCTCAATAGATTCAGAAAAAGTCAACACCAATTCATGACATATTGAAAAAATAAAAGCTTCCCAGCAAACTTACAAGGAATCTAACTTAATCTGATAAATATATCTACGAAAGCTGGAATCATACTTAACGGTGTAATATTGATCAATTTTTCCCTAAGATCAAGAATATCTGCTCTCACCATCTTTATCCAACATCACAGTGGAAATAATAAAGCAATAAAGGAATACAGATTGGAAAAAAGAAGTGAAGTTGTCTTAATCCACAAATGACATGATTATGAACAAAGAACTCTTAAGTATTTGTAAAAACATTACTAGCATTAATAAATAAGCTTGCCAAGATTTCAAGATTCAAAATCAATGTAGAAAAATCAATGTTATTTCTAAATACTAGCAATGAATAATGAAAAAAATTGAAAAAGTGATATTATTAACAATAGCATGAAAAATATAAAATATTCAAAGATATATTTAACAAAATAAGTGCAAGAACTCTACCCTGAAAAGCATAAAACATTGCTGAGAAAAATTATAAAGGATCTAAAAATGAAGAGACATGTTTATGAACTAGAAATCTCAACATTGTTCAGATGTTAGTTCTCCCCATATTGATCTAACAGTTCAACTGTGCTTTATTCAAAATTTCCACTAAGATTTTTTAAGTAACAGTTTACAAGCTGATTCTAATATTTATATGGATGTAAAAAACTCCAGAATATTCAAACCATTTTTAAAAAGAATAAAGTTTTATGACTCAAAGAAGTACCTGATTTTAAGACTCACTATAAAGTAATCAAGACAGAGTGATAGAGATATAAGTATAGAGGCATTGACCAATGAAATAGAACAGAATCTAGAAATATAACTAAAGATAAAGGGCCAACTTTTTTTTTTTTTTTTTGAGATGGAGTCTGACTCTGTCACCCAGGCTGGAGCACAGCGGCGCCATCTCAGCTCACTGCAATCTCTGCCTCCCAGGTTCAAGAGATTCTCCTGCCTTAGCCTCCCAAGCAGCTGGGACTACAGGCATGTGCCACCATGCCCAGCTAATTTTTGTATTTTTAGTAGAGATGTGGTTTCACCATGTTGGCCAGGATGCTCTCGATCTCTTGACCTTGTGATCCACCCGCCCTGGCCTCCCAAAGTGCTGGGATTACAGATGTGAACCACCACACCCAGGCAGGTCAACTTATTTTTAACCAGACTGCCAAGGCAAATCAATTTTAAAAAGGATGTTTTCAATAAACGGTGCTGGAGCAACTTGATATCCCTAGGGAAAAAACAAACAAAAAATAAATTGCAACCTCTATCTCACACCATACATAAAAACTAATTCAGGCTGGGTGCGGTGGCTCACACCTGTGATCCCAGCACTTTGGGAGGCCGAGGCAGGCAGATCACAAGGTCAGGAGATTGAGACCATCCTGCCTAACACGGTGACACCCTGTGTCTACTAAAAATACAAAAAATTAGCCAGTCATGGTGGCGGGCACGTGTAGTCCCAGCTACTTGGGAGGCTGAGGCAGAAGAATGGGTGAACCTGGGAGGCAGAGCTTGCAGTGAGCCGAGATTGCACCACTGCACTCCAGCCTGGGCAACAGAGCAAGACTCCATCTCAAAAAAAAAAAAAAAAAAAACTAATTCAAAATAGATTGTAGACTTAAATATAAATACCAAAATTATAAAACAGGAAAGAAAGCGTAAAGGAAAATATTTGTAACCTTGATGTAGGCAATTTTTTTTAGACAAGGCACAAAAATTCTGAAGCATAAAAAAGTCATATTTTGGATTTCATCAAACTTTGAGTGTAGTATGAGTCAAAGAGCAGGCATCTCAAATATTCCTGCCAGGAAGCTATCATCAGACTTCCCTCTCCTCATTCTCAAAATAAGGGAAAGAAGTAGAGGTAGAAGAAATAAGCCTCATTTAGCCCTTTGTACAAGTGAAGCTTAAAATATCAAACTCGAGGAAGAGGCAAGATTTCAGGGAAAAAATAGGTAAAAAGATGTTTAGAGCAAGAGGCTATTGCAGTTTTATGTGAAGGGCAATGAGTAGACATTCCTCTTGATGAGATCGGCACCTAAAACTGTGTGGGTGCTAAAGCCACTAAATCAAGGGTTAAAAACTTAGGAAATCTCAGTTCAAGTAGAAGAATAAGTCTTCTTCTTCCTTCCAATTCTTGTATCTTCCCTCATCAGTTCTGCCCTCCCTCCTTCCCTTACACTTTGCCTTCCTCCTTTCCTTCTTTTCTTCCTTCTTCCCTTCCTTTCTTCTTTTCTATCCTTCCAAGTATGTACTAAACCTCTATTTGCCACAAGTCTTTGTAATTGAGCAAAGCAATGCAGCCCATGGTACATGTTCTTCAAAGAACTTATAAACCAGTTGATGAGACATGACAGAAACATGAAAAAATAAAACAACCAAGACATATTATGATGCAGTATAATAATGGCTGTAAGTTTTCAGGAGAGTGAAATCAATGCGAGTTAGCATAGTTAAAAAAATACGTGATGTTCAAGTTGTCAATAAATTGAATGGAGCAATTTGAATAAGAATTAGGGAGTTGGGGCAAAAGATATTTCTGGGAGGAAGCGGCATCAGCAAAGATATGACGATGGGAATATATGTGGCAGGTTTTAGGAAAGCACATTAGATCAGTCCAGTTATAGATGAACATTCAAATAAAGAAAAGGGCTTAGGTTTTAAAGTTAGAAATGAAAATAAGTTTTGATAGCTAGGATGGCGACAGATAATATGAAATGTGGCCCTATATTTAGTATACAATCACTAATAAAACCTCTAGTAGCACTTGAGAGTTTACAAAAGCTTGTTCCCATATGTTATCTAAGATGATCTTTGTGAACTTTGGAGGATAGTTTGTAAATGGGGGAAAAATAAGCCTCAAAGAAGAAAATAACTTGCATAGATTTATAGATCTAGATACTGTGGAATCTGGTCAGGCCCGGGTCTATTGGCTTTAGGAATTAAATTCTCATTGTTAAATATAACCTACTCTATAAAGTATTCCCTGATTACTCTCACTGATTGCAATTTTATCTTTTATAGGGCACTTCACCTATGTGCTTAGCTTGTTTCCACCTCTGGTTTATAACTCTCCTAAGGGTTGGAATTGTATCTTCCACTTCTTTTCTATCTTCTATAGGGCATAGAAGAGTGCTAGACTCATAGAGGATACTCAATAAATTAGTTATGAATGAGTGAATGAATGAATGAATGCAGCAAGTATTGAGCTGAGATATGAAAAGGGACTGGAACAAACTTCACACTATAACCATCTGGTGAAATGTTTAAACATACCAATGCCCAGGATCCACACAAGAGATTTTCACTTAATTGTTCTGAGACAGCTCAGGCAGTTTTTTTCTATTTGCTTTGGGTTCTTCTAAACATGGCAAAGTTTAGCACCCTTAGACTTCCCTCATCCAAAGTTGAATCCCCATACAAGTGTGTTTGAGAAGGGTCTGGAGAGCCTGCTTTAAATGGAGGTGTGGTCAACTCATTCTTTCAGGACAGAAGGAGAGCATATATAATTGGGGTAAATGAAAGAAAATTGCACAGGTGTTATTTCTATAGCTAACGGTCTCAAGTCTTGAGATGTGCAGGCTTGTGACACGTCCAGAAAATACAAGAAGGATGACTTTTTTCCTTTTGTCTTTGCAATATTTCCAATAATGATGCCATTAAACTTCTTAGATAACATTAAACATTATTTAACAGATAGCACTAATGAACAATTAAATGAGAGGCTTCTGTCTGGACTGTCTACATGGTGTGCATACCAAACAGGCGCAGCGGTGCCCATTCTGGAATCTCTGCCTGGTACCCATGGGAGAGAAACCAAGAGAGCAAGAGACTGAGAGAGAAGGAAAAGAGAGGCTGTGAATTTCTATATAATAATGCTGGTGAGCTATTTTTACTTAAGCCCTTGCAACTATATTCTCAGAATATTCTTGCTCTTGTGTGGTTCTTATAGTTTGGAAGCCAAGTGCAAAGGCCTGACAGTAACAGCTGTTAAAGACTCCCTGCAGATGAAAATGAAAGTCAAACTAGCATGCACATGTGAAGGGGATTATCAACCAAATGTGTTGATTTCATCCCTGGATCTTTACAGCCAGAAAATAAAAAGCATGTTTCCTGAATAATAATGATCTCTTCTGTTTCTATCATGCTTTTCTGTCCAAAACTCCAAGATATTCTGTTTTGTCATTTGTCCATTTATTGGAAGGGACAAGGAAAAGAGCATAAATATTTCCACATGAGATGGACCATCTCAGTTTGCCTGGTTTTAGCACTGAAATTCTAGTAGCATTCCAGGGAACCCCTCAGATTAAGGGCAAACTGGGACAACTGGTTACCATAATTTCTCCTTATCTTATATGTGAGATTACTGAGCTCCAAGCTCACACAATGTAGGGCCTTCCCCAGACTGGTGGTAAAAAACTCTGTTATTGTTTTTTAAACTTGTATTACACAAGTAATACATACTTGCTAAATAATTTTCTTAAAAAACACATATACGTGTGTGTGTATATATATATATAGAGAGAGAGAGAGAGAGAGAGAGAGATGTGCACATAACTTGAATGTCTTTTAATGACTATGCTGTATCTACAGCTATAATCATTGTGAAAAACGACATTGGGTTTCATTAAAACCATTCTATGCTGTATTTAACCAATCTGCAATGGTAATATAATAGCAGTTTGCTCCCCCCACCACCAATATACACAAAAACAAGATTTTTACTTCTAAAATATAGAGCTGTGAATAATACCATCTTCATATATAATTGAGAATTGTCTAATTATTCGTTGGTAATTTCAACGTCCACAAGACTTGTCCTTCCAAAATTTCAACTACCTTAAGTTGGGTTTTCTGGCTAGGTGAGGTGGTTCACGCCTGTAATCCCAGCACTTTGGGAGGCTGAGGCGGGTGGATCAACTGAGGTCAGGAGTTTGAGACCAGCCTGGCCAACATGGCAAAACCCCATCTCTACTAAAAATACAAAAATTAGCTGGGCATAGTGGTGCATGCCTGTAATCCCAGCTACTTGGGAGGCTGAGGCAGGAAAATCACTTGAACTCAGGAGGTGGAGGTTGCAGCGAGCTAGGATCATGCCACTGCACCCCAGCCTGGGTGACAAGAGCGAAACTCTGTCTCAAAAAAAAAATTAAATTAAAAAAATAAATAAATAGGCCTGGAGCAGTGGCTCATGCCTGTAATCCCAGCACTTTGGGAGGCCGAGGCAGGCGGATCATCTGAGTTCGGGAGTTTGAGACCAGCCTGACCAAAATGGAGAAACCCCATCTCTACTAAAAATACAAAAAAATTACCTAGGCATGGTGGTGGGTGCCTGTAGTCCCAGCTACTCTACTCGGAGGCTGAGGCAGAAGAATGGTGTGAATCCGGGAGGTGGAGCTTGAGGTGAGCCGAGATCGTGCCACTGCACTCCAGCCTGGGCGACAGAGCGAGACTCCATCTCAAAAAATACATAAATAAATAAATAAATTGGGTTTTCCTAAACCATACCTGAGACAAGTATTTGGTGTAGGTGATTCATTTGGTAAGTCCAGTTAAGAAAGCAAGACAAAGAAAGAAAAGCCAAAAACAGATGGATTAATGAATGAGTTTCTGCTGTGAGAACTGAGGCTGAATCTCACTAGCACCTTCTAAGAGATTGTAGAACATAGTGCAGAACTCCATGCCAGAGGAGCAAGACAGTTGGGGTATTTATTTATTTTCCTAATTGTTTAAGGTTCTCTCCTGGAGCATGAATCCTCCACATACTGTAAACCAAGGAAATGCCTGTGGCCAGAAAATACCCTCCAGGCAGAGAGATATAGGAAGCCATCAGCATTTATGAGAATTGTCTAGTGTGACGTCCAGAGTGGACCCAGGAGATCTAGGAGGACACCCACAGCATCTGCTTCACTGTCTGCTCACTTCCTTGCCTCTCTCTTCTCTGATGATCTTGGGTTCCACCTGTTACAGCACCTGTTGTTACCAATATCTCCATTGCCTCCATAATATCCCCCTCTCCAATTTCCTCCTGTCTTTTTTACTGCCTCTGTTACCCCAGCACAATTCTTTACCACATTAGAACCTGCAATACATTTCTACAACCATATTTTTTTGTCACTCATCCCCTTCAAGTCATCATTTCCATCCTTAGCCACATCATAATCACCCCCTTGCATATTTCCTCAATTCCGTTGCCTATCTCTCTTCAAACTGAACTAACCTGGGCAAAACCCTATTCGTTAGTTAAATCCAAATTTCTGTCAACTCTGGGCAACGAACCTGTGCTGTCTTCTGGACAACTATTTCATACTATCTTCTCTCTTTTAAATCTCCGGTAATCATCCCCATGCTGATACTCCGCTGATTACCTTACTTCCAATTTTTTCAAGAAATCAAATCACTCGGAAGAGAACTTTACCAACCTCCCATCACAGCAACCATCTCTCACCTGTTATCTGTGCCCTCCTGTTATAGTTATTCTGGATACACAGTTCAGGATTCTATCTCAAGGGCTGAGTTGTGTGCTAGATCCCATCCTTTCTTGCCCACTTGAGAATATACTTGATCAATTCTTTGCTTTCCCCTATATCATCAGTTTTTTTCTTCTTTCACAGAGCATTTTCATCAGAATGCAAATGTAGTATTTCTCCCAACTGAAAAATATTTTCTTGAGACCACATGCCTCTGTAACTTCTGTCTCATTTTTTGCTCCCCTTTATAGCAAAACACTTCAAAATAGTCACCTACATTTACTGCCTGCAATTTTTTCTTCTTATATTGTCTCTTAAATCATGGTCAATCAAGCTTCCATTTGAACTATTCCATCAACACTCCTCTTTTAAGTGCCAACAATGACGTCCATGTTACTAAATATAATAGCTAATTTTCCCTCTGTGTCTTGTGACTATTAGCGGCACTTGAGCCAGCTGATCACTTTCTTTTCCTTGATGTATATTCCTCACTTGGCTTTGGGGACACTATAATTTTTCTGGTTATCCTCTTATTTCATTGATGGCTCCTTCTCAGTTTCCCTTCTTATCTCCACAAACTCTAAGGTTGGAAACACACTAGGCTCAGTTCTGCACCATCATTAGTCTCTATTTACACTCGATTCTAACAACCTATCCTATATTTACACTATTGCCTTTAATCAGGCTCGTGGTCCGAAGCACCATGTATCTGCTGGCAAGCCCAAATTTGTATTTTTAGTCTAAACCTCTCCTTAATATCTGGAGTCATATGTCTGACTCCTACACAATGGCTCCATTTGGATAGCAAAAATATATGTCAAATCTATGATGTCCAAACCCAAATGCCTGAACTTCTTTTTTGAATTTTTTTAATTCTAACTTAAAATTTTTTATTTCAGTAGTTTTGGGGATACAGATTGGTTTTAGTTACATAGATAAGCTCTGTTGTGGTGATTAATGAGAATTTAGTGCACCTGTCACCCAAGGAGTGTATACTGTACCCATCTCTATTGCCCCCATCCCAGCCTTCTTCCCCGAACCCCCAGAGTCCATTATATCATTCTTATGCCTTTGCATCCTCATAGCTTAGCTCTCACTTATAAGTGAGAACATATGATACTTGGTTTTCCATTCCTGTGTTACTTCACTTAAAATAATGGGATTTTTTTTTTTCTGATTTGTTCGAGTTCATTGTAGATTCTGGATACTAGCCCTTTGTCAGATGCATAGTTTGCAAATATTTTCTCCCACTCTGTGTGTTGTCTGTTTACTCTGCTGATTATTTCTTTTACTGTGCAGAAGCATTTTACTTTAATTAGGTCCCATTTACTTACTTTTGTTTTTGTTGCATTTGTTTTGAGGATCTTAGTCATGAATTTTTTCCCTAAACCAATATTCAGAAGAGTTTTTCTGATGTTATCTTTTAGAAATTTTATGGTTTCAGGTCTTAGACTTTTGTCTTTGATTCATCTTGAGTTGATTTATGCATAAGGTGAGAGATGGGGATCCAGTTTTATTCTCCTATATGTGGCTTGGTAGTTTCCCCAGCACCATTTATTGAATTAGGGTGTCCTTTCTCCAATTTATGTTTTTGTATGCTTTGTCAAAGATCAGATGGCTGTGAGTTTTGGCTTTATTTCTGGGTTCTCATTCTGTTCCATTGGTCTATGTGCCTAGTTTTATACCAGTACCACGTTGTTTTTGTAACTATAGCCATATATTATAATTTGAAGTCAGATAATGTGATGCCTTCAGATTTGTTCTTTTTGTTTGGCTATGCAGGCTATTTTTTGGTTCCATTTGAATTTTAGGATTGTTTTTTCTGGTTCTGTGAAGAATGATGATGGTATTTTGATCAGAATTGCATTGAATCTGTAAATTTCTTTGGACAGTATGGTCATTTTCACAATATTGATTCTTCTCATCCATGAGCATGGGGATGTGTTTTTCTTTCTTTGTGTCATCTATGATTTCTTTCAGCAGTATTTTGTAGTTCTCCTTGTAGAAATCTTTCACCTCCTTGGTTAAGTAGATTCCTAAGTTATTTTATTTTATTTTATTTTTGCAGCTGTTGTAAAAGGGATTGAGTTCTTGGTTTGATTCTCATCTTGGCCATTGTTGGTATATAGCAGTGTTACTGATTTATGTACATCGATTTTGTATCCTGAGACTTTATTGAATTTGTTTATCAGATCTAGGAGCTTTTTGGATGAGTCTTTAGGGTTTTCTAGGTATATGATTGTATCATCAGCAAACAGTGACAGTTTGACTTCCTCTTTTCCAATTTGGATGCCCTTTATTTCTTTCTCCTGTCTAATTGCTCTGGCTATGACTTCAAGTACTATGTTGTCTTGTTCCAGTTCTCAGGGGGAATGCTTTCAACTTTTCCCCATTCTGTAGATGTTGGCTATGGGTTTGTCATATATGGCTTTTATTACTTTGAGATGAGTCCCTTCTATTCCTATTTTATGGAGGGTTTTTGTCAGAAAGGGATGCTGGATGTTATCAAATGCTTCTTCTGCATCTATTGAGACAATCATATGATTTTCTTTAAAAACAATTCTGTTTATGTGATGTATCACATTTATTGGCTTGCATATGTTAAATAATCCCTGCATTTTGGGGATGAAGCCCATGTGATCATGATGTATTATTTTTTTGTTGTGCTGTTGAATTCAGTTAGTACAGTATTTTGTTGAGGATGTTTGCATCTATGTTCATCAGAGATATTGGTCTGTAGTTTGTTGTTGTTGTTATGTCCTTTAGTGGTTTTGGTGTTAGGTTGATACTGGCTTCATAGAATGATTTAGGGAGAATTCCCTCTTTCTCTATATTTTGGAATAGTTTCAGTAGGATTGGTACCAATTCTTCTTTGAATGTATGGTAGAATTCAGCTTTGAATACATCTGGTCCTAGACGTTTTTATGTTGGCAATTTTTTTAAATTACTGAATCAGTCTTGCTGCTTGTTATTGGTCTGTTCAGGCTTTCTATTTCTTCCTGATTTAATCTAGGAGGGTTGTATATCTCCATAAATCTATCCATTTCCTCTAGATTTTCTAGTTTGTGTGCATAAAGGTTCTCATAGTAGCTTTGAATGATCATTTGTATTTCTGTGGCATCTGTTGCAATATCTCCAGTTTCATTTCTGATTGAGCTTATGTGGATCTTCTCTCTCCTTTTCTTGATTAATCTCATTAATGGTCTATCAATTTTGTTTATCTTTTCAAAGAACCAGGTTTTCCTTTTATTTATTTTTTGTATTGTATTTTTTTTGTTTCAATTTCATTTAGTTCTGCTCTGATCTTTTTTATTTCTTTTCGTCTGGTGGGTTTGAGTTTAGTTTGTTCTTGCTTCTCTAGTTCCTTGAGGTGTGACATTAGGTTGTCTATTTGCATTCTTTCAGACTTTTTGGTGTAGGCATTTAACATTATGAACTTTCCTCTTAGCACCACTTTTGCTGTATCCCAGTGGTTTTGATATGTTGTGTCACTATTATTATTCATTTCAAATAATTTATAAATTTCCTTCTTCATTTCATTGTTAATGCATCAAACATTCAAGAGCAGATTTTAATTTCTATGTATTTGTATAGTTTTAGGGTTCCCTTTGGAATTAATTTCCAGTTTTATTCCACTGTGGTCTGAGAAAATTCTTGATATAATTTTGGTTTTCTTAAATTTAGTGAGACTTCTTTTGTGGCCTATCATATGGTCTATCTAGGAGAATGTTCCATATACTGATGAGAAAAATGTATTTTCTGCAGTTGTTAGGAAGAATGTTGTAAATATCTGTTAAGAGCATTTGTTCTAGGGTATAGTTGAAGTCCATTGTCTCTTTGTTGACTTACTGTCTTGATGGCCTGTCTAGTGCTGTCAGTGGAGTATTGAAGTCCCCTACTATTGTTGTGTTGCTATTTCATTTCTTAAGTCTAGCAATAATTTTTTATGATCTGAGAGCTTCAGGATACACCTGAACTTCTTATTCAAACTTGTTCTTTCCTCAGTCTTTACTTTTCAGTAAACAGCAACCCCATTGTTCCAGTTGATCAACCTCAAAATCTTGGAGCCATCCTTGTGCCTTTTTCTCACATACTCTAAGAGATCCACCAACAAATCTTAAAAGCTCCAGCACTCCAACTATGTACAAAGTCAACAACCAGGTGGTTCAGGTTGCTGTAATTTCTTACCTGGATTAGTGTTGCAGCCTCTTAACTGATCTTTTGTTTCTGGCCTTTCCTCTTATGAAATTTAATCTCAACAGCAGATCTAAAGTAATTCTTTCCAGGCTGGGCGCAGTGGCTCACACCTGTAATGCTAAAACACTGGGATTCCGAGGTGGGCAGATTGCCTGAGCTCAGGAGTTCAAGATGAGCCTGGTCAACATAGTGAAACCCCGTCTCTACTAAAAATATAAAAATTAGCTGGGTGTGGTAGTAGGTGCCTGTAATCCCAGCTACTTGGGGGCTGAGACAGGAGAATCGCTTGAACCCGGGAGGCGGAGGTTGCAGTGAGCCGAGATGGCGCCACTGCACTCCAGCCTGGGTGACAGAGCAAGACACTGTCTCAAAAAAAAAAAAATAATTAAAACAAACAAATAATAAATAAATAAATAAACTGACTCTTTCAAGATTTGAGCCAGGTCATTTGTTATTTGTTGAAAGCTAGGAATATTTCTTTTCTTTTTTTTTTTTTTTTGATATGGAGTCTTGCCCTATCGCTCAGGCTGGAGTGCAACTTCCACCCACTAGGTTCAAGCAATTCTCCTACCTCAGCCTCCCAAGTAGCTGGGATTACAGGCGCCTGCCACCATGCCCAGCTAATTTTTGTATTTTTAGTAGAGACAGGGTTTCACCACGTTGGCCGGGCTGGCCTTGAACTCCTGACCTCAGGTGATCCATACGCCTCGGCCCCCCAAAGTGTTGAGATTACAGGCGTGAGCCACTGCGCCCGGCCATCTATTTCTTTTTATGAGGGGGGAAAAAAGAAAACCTGGGAGTATCTTTAGAACTCACTCAGTTAAAGCTTACAGGACTTGGCATGGTCTGAGCTCACATAATCTCTATGACCTCATCATCTCCTCCTCTTTGCCCCATTTCCCACTTTACTCCAACCACACTGACCTCATTATTCCTCAATTGGGACCCACAGGTTCCCACCTCAGCATTTTTGCCCTTGCTGGTTATCTACATAGTTCACTCTCTTATCTAGTTAAGGAAGTTACTCAAATTTCACTGTCTCAGGTCTCCCCGACCACCTTATTTAATACTGTAACCTCCACTCGCCCATATCCTCCCACCCCATCCTCTTCTGAACTTTATTTTTCACCATAGCACTTATTCACACAATATTATGTTTTAAACATTATGATATTTAAAAATACATGTATTTATTTTATGTCTCTTTGTCCTAAAATGAAGGCTTTATAAAAGGAAAGATTTTGTCTGTTTCTCAGTGCCAAGAAAAGTACTTGGCATATAGTTGGTTTTCAATAAATATTTTTTGAGGAGATGATTGAATGAGGGACTGGTTTGGTGTTACGAATAGGTTTGTTATTTAATAGCTGTGTGATCTTGGAAAAGTCTTTTGAACATTCTAGCTCAGTTTTCTTGTCTATATAACCAGTATAGCAAAACCAAATTTATGGTACTGTTGTGAGGACTAATGTATGCAAAACAAACATCCTACTGCAACACTTGGCATAGAGTGTATGTTCAATAAATACTGAATCAATTTTCCCCAGAGGTTACTAAAATTTCTTTAAAATTACAAATTTTATTTCTCCCATATTTCCCATTCTCTGCTTGCCCTCAGATATTTCCACCTCTGTGTCCTATTTTTCATGAATTTTGCTATGCCAAAAACAATCATTTACCCTGGGCTGCTGAATTGATCGACATGAACGGATTGTTTCCCAGTGTCAAACAACCAGTTCCTTCTTCCTTTCTTGTCTTTATTGTCCACCTAATTGACCGTATGTAGGTAATGCAAAAGACTTAACAGACTTCAAAGAAACTTTCCCAAGAGCTTAAATTTTAATTGTGAAGCTAAAATGCGGCCAGGTGTGGTGGCTAACCTAACGCCTGTAATCACAGCACTTTGGGAGGCTGAGGTGGGCAGATCACCCAAGGTCAGGAGTTCGAGACCAGATGCCAACATGTTGAAACCCTGTCTCTACTAATAATACAAAAATTAGCTGGGCATGGTTTTGCACCCCTGTAATCCTAGCTGCTTGGGAGGCTGAGGCAGGAGAATCACTTGAATCAGGGAGATGGTGGTTGCAGTGAGCCGAGATCGTGCCATTGCACTCCAGCCTGGGTGACAAGAGTGAAACTCTGTCTCAAAAAACAAACAAACAAACAAAAAACTGAAATGCACAGTCAGATATGAAGCAAGAATGACTCAGATCAGATCTAGTGTCAAGTATGTACAAGAATGAATATTTTAATGATTAGAGAAAGATCTCTTGGGAGTGGTAATACTTGATCTTAACCCTGAAGGATAGACAGATATGTTGTTCAAGTAATTAATGTTAACTGCAGCAACAAACAAACCCCTAATAATATGAACTTAACAAACTAATTGTTTATTTGTTGCTTGTGTCACAGTTTGATGGGAACTGAGGGGCTCTTTCTGGTCAGTACTCACCCAAGTAATACTGTATGTGATCTTGTAAGTATGCAATCTATAATACCTGGCCTCCAAGATCACCAAGGGGAAGAGAGGGCTGGAAGATTCTATGGGATGATTTTATGTCTAGGCCTGGAAGTAGCAGTCATGACTTCTACCTTCATCTAATTGGTCAGAATTGGACACCACGCCTCACCCATAGGCATGGGGGCTAGATGTTTGTTGAGCAGGAGTGGTCTCTGTGAAAGGTATATTCAGGTGGAAGGAGAGGCTACTCCAGGCAAGAAGATTAGCAGGAGCCAAGGTGGAAAGCCAGAAGAGAGCAGATGGTGTTTGGTAAAAAGAAACTAATGAAGAAGTGAGCCTGGTGGGAGAAGACTGGGAGCTGTGAAAGGATTATAGCTGATTAAAAATAGTATTTCTATTAAAGTAATACATGTTTAATGTAAAAAATCTGGAAATACTAAAAAAGGGTAATCATGGAAGTAAAATTACTCATTATTCACTGCAAAGAGAAAAAGTATTATATTTGATGTGTTTGTCTAGTCGTTTTTCTAAGATAGGTATTTATGCATATGCACATTTTAAATTTGTAATTACAGTCTACATGTAATTTTTATCTGAATTTTTTTTTTTTTGAGATGGAGTCTTGCTCTGTTGGCCAGGCTGGAGTGCAGTGGTGCGATCTCAGCTCACTGCAAGCTCCACCTCCCAGGTTCAAATCATTCTCCTGCCTCAGCCTCCCGAGTAGAGTAGCTGGGACTACAGGCACCCGCCACCACGCCCAGCTAATTTTTTTGTATTTTTAGTAGAGATGGGGTTTCACCGTGTTAGCCAGGATGGACATGATTATCTGATATTTATCCATCAGATATTATATCCTAACATTTATTCATACTAGTTAATATTTCTGAAGCCTTGATTACCAATGGCTGCATTTGTTTACTTATTTGTTCTTTCAATAAATACTTATTAAACATCTGCTAGTGCCAGGTACTGGTATACAGTGAACAAAGAGATACATTCTTTGTCCTCATAGAACTTATATTTTGGTTGGAAAAATACACCATAAATAAATAAACATGCAAATAGATATACAATCTCAGCTTCAGATAAATGTGAGAGAGTATAAATGAGGAAGGAGTGCTTAATCAGGAAAGCTGTATAAAGGAGGCAAATTTTATTATTTATTTATTTTTGAAATGGAGTCTTGCTCTGTTGCCCAGGCTGGAGTGCAGTGGCATGATCTCGGCCCACTGCAACCTCTGAGGAGGCAAACTTTAAACTAAGTTCTGAAGGGTAAATATTAGTTGGGTGAAGAGTAGAAGGAAGAACCTTTCAGGCAGATGGAACGGCACATATGAGGGTCCAGAAGGGACCTATGCGTTACTGACTTGAATGAGAAGCAACTAACAATTTGTAAGCAAGTAAATGACATCATCCAGGTTACATTTTTAAGATCACTTGGGCTGCTGAGTGGAGAATTGATCAGAATTAGGAAAAAGTGAATTCAGGGACACCAGTTAGAAAGATATTGCCATCTTGTTGAGAAAGATAATGTTGATGGTCACTTAAATTGGGTTGAAACAGTGAAAACATTTGTCTTGGAAACAATGGGTATATGGTTAGCTTTACTAGATTTAATAATCTCAGAAGTAAAAAAAAATTCTCTACACATTCTTTATTTGTGCTGGTCCTAGAATAAAGCAGCTTATAGGGTTAATGCAGAATCTTGACTCAGTGTGACCTATCTCAGGGAGTCTTACTCATATTGTTGGACACTTGGGGTCTGCCATGAATGGTTGTGTGTTTTAAAAACATTTGAAAGCAACAGAGCATGACTTTTCAGTTCCCCAGAGACGGTCTTGTGGGTTTCAAGGTGTGGAACTGAAGAACAGTGATAGCCATTCTCAATCAGATTATTGTCAGACAAGCCAGGAGATCCCTGAGACTGGCATAGAAATGTATGGGTCTGTTGAGGAGACAGAAACATCTATAAATCAGATAAACAGGTTTGCTTGGGATTACAAGTTCATTAATGAAGCGATGGACCTTTGAGAGACAGAGATTGCTTTTCGGCAATTGTCATAAAGAGGTTTGTTTATGATGAGGACTGTCACCTTGTAGGCTGACATAATGGCACACTGCACCTTGTGAGAAGATTACGGTGAGTGCAATTATGGCTCTAGTGGGCTTCAGGCAAAGACTCTAAACTAACCAGCAAATTCCCATGTTCTCTCTCAGAAGAATATGTGCAGGAGATATGTTGGGGCTAGCTCACAAGTAAGGCATTGCTTAAAAGAGTTTCAGCAATGAAAACAGAACAGAAATGAAATTTTCAGAGAAGAGACTTACATGTAGAAGGGAACTGCATATCTTCAAATAAAAGCATTAGCTGCCTTCCCTCTATGTGTCTCTTTATCTTTCACTATTCCCACTTCTATCTTCTTCTCTGATTTTGTTTCTTTTCCCCTGTATTTTTGGCTGTTCTATCCATGTGTCTGTCTCCAGCCCTGCCTTATATCTCTGACCTGGCTTATACTCTGTTCCAGTGGCCATATAATCCTGCACATTTTAATGAAATAATAATTTAGTGCCTATTTTGTAAGACATTATGCCAGACCACAGAAAAAGAAACCCAAAACTAAGCCCTTCATTCCATAGTCTCTGTTACTGGTGGAGGGTATCCAGGTTCTTGGCATCTTGAACAAAGAATTGGACAAAATGCACAAAAAAAGCAAAGGAAGAATGAAGTAACAGAAGCAGAGGTTTATTGAAAATGAAAGTACACTCCACAGTGTGGGAGCGGGTCAGAGTATAGGGGCTCAAGGACCCTGTTACAGAATACTCTCTAGAGTTTAAATATCCTCTAGAGGATTCCATTGGTTGCTTGGTGTATGCCCTATGTAAATGACGAGGATGAAGTAAAGTTAAAAAGTCATTTACTCGGCATATGCCCTATGGAGAGGGCTTAGTATAAACTAACTTCATCAAAGTCCCACAGTCTGTAAGGGACAAAACCATGATTCAAATATAAGCTGCTGACTCCAAAGTCCATGTGACTACATGGCTACTGTGAGCAGGTGCTTTGCACATATTCACCTTATTTAGTCTCTAAGCAGTTATGCATAGTAGTCATTATTATCTCAATTTTTTCAGTCAGGAAATTGAGGTTGAGAAGTTAAATTTTAGGGCAGGACGCAGTAGCTCACACCTGTAATCTCAGCACTTTGGGAATCTGAGGCGGGCAGATCACCTGAGGTCGGGAGTTCAAGAGCAGCCTGACCAACATGGAGAAACCCATCTCTACTAAAAATACAAAATTAGCTGGGCGTGGTGGCACATACCTCATACCTGTAATCCCAGCTACTCAGGAGGCTGAGGCAGGAGAATCGCCTGAACCTGGGAGGCAGAGGTTGCGGTGAGCCGAGATCACGCCATTGCACTCCAGCCTGGGCAACAGGAGAGAAACTCCGTCTCAATAAAACAAAACAAAACAAAACAAACAAACAAAAAAAGAAGTTAAATTTTAGGCCAGGCACAGTGGCTCACGCCTGTAATCTCAGCTCTTTGGGAGGCTGATGAAGATGGATCAATTGAAGCCAGGAGTTCGAGACCAGCCTGGGCAATATGGCAAAACCACCACATCTCTACGAAAAATACAAAAATTAGGCAGGCACAGTGATGTGTGCCTGTAGTCCCAGCTACTCTGGGAGGCTGAGGTGGGAGAATCACTTGAACCTGGGAAGCAGAGGTTTCAGTGAGCCGAGATTGTGCCACTGCACTCCAGCCTGAACACAGAGTGAGACCCTGTCTCAAAAAAAAAAAAAAAAAAAAGTTAAATTTTATTTTGACTAAGATAATGCAGCTGAAAAGTGGTAATTTTGTATGTATGCTCAGGTTTACAAAGTACCGAAATACTCCACTCCTCAGGGTACTCTCTTTCTCCTTTGTCATACTGCCTCCTGGACCCTTTCCAATCAGTTTTATGTTCTTCCGTCTAACTTAGATTCCCTGATAGCAGAGGTGATCTTATTTTTCCTAGTATCAATTGCCAAATAAAAAATCCTATTTATTGTGATTTTTGAGTATCTACTATGTGTAAAGTCTAGTGCTCAGAACTGAAAGAGATAGAAAGAATAATAGGAACTGGTCCCTGCCCTCAAGGAGTAATGGTCTTAATTGGGAATAAGACAGAGAAGCTCGTGATAAAGTTTAACTTGATAAAGTTAAATGGCTTTTCAAAGCAACAATAGAAGACATGTCATGAAGCGGGAGATGATGAATGGCTGAAAGAATGTTACAGACAATATGTGCTGTAGGATTTCAGATGAGGGAGAAATGAGGAGCAGATGGTCATTTCTATGCATAATATGCCTTCATTTATTTAAAGCTCATCATTAAGCCCTTCAGGAATTCCTTGTTTAGGACAAACCTTTTAATCTTTCCTTGGGAATATTACTCCCCAATCCTTTCAGCATTTCCTTGCCTCTTATTCCCCTTTTCCACATTCCTTAGAAATGTTGGCGTCTGAAAATTCAACAGTATAGGTTAAGAAAGTCTGTCCTAGGCCAGGCACGGTGGCTCACACCTGTTATCCCAGCACTTTGGGAGGCTGAGGCGGGCAGATCACGAGGTCAAGAGATAGAGACCATCCTGGCCAACATGGTGAAACCCCGTCTCTACTGAAAATACAAAAATTAGCTGGGTGTGGCGGTGTGTGCCTGTAATCCCAGCTACTCGGGAGGCTGAGGTAGGAGAATCGCTTGAACAAGGGAGGTGGAGGTTGCAGTGAGCCAAGGTCGTGCCACTGCACTTCAGCCTGGTGGCAGAGCAAGACTCCATCTCAAAATAAATAAATAAATAAATAAATAAGAAAGTCTGTCCTTTCAGGTCATGTGTGAGCTGAGCCTTTCCCTTAGACCATGAAACATCTCATAGGCAATAACAAAAAACCACTGTGTTGTCCTAGCATAGTTTTGGTTTTGGAATATCTGACGAGAGGGAATATATCCACAGATGTTTTCATGCAGCTCTTGGAATTGGAGGGCATAACCAGCTTATACCTAAGCCTGTGTTAGACTTGGCAATAGGGTGCAGGGTAGGGAGGAGACATGGGGAAACTCCCCCAGCACCTTCTTAGCACCCAGGTTCATCCTTCCCATCTAGGGGAAGTTCACCTTTGCAGACACTGTCTTAGGCAACCTCTGGATCCCATATTATACAATCTCCTAACCTACTTGTAAAGACCTAGGAATGTGTTTATGGGTCAGGATGAGGAAGCAAGGGTGGGAGATGGTGAGATTACTACCGGTGGGCTGAGAAAAGGAATTGGGAAAGAAATGCAAGAAACCTGAAAAGCAAAATCAGCAAAATGCAGATGAAGCGCCCTGAAGCAAATTTTACCTACTTCACCATCCTGCCAGGGACCAAACCTGGTGAAAAGTTCACGGCTGTGGAAAAATATGTATACCTTTCAGTCAAATGTCATACACAAATCCTAGGAGACCAAAAGGTTAGTCCATCATAAATGCCCTCTATCTCGAATCAAATGTGACAGAGAGAAGAAAAACAGACATGATAATCTTGAGAAATTATATCTCCTAGACAGCTTTCAGAATATGTGTTTCATGGTGAGCTATTTGGAGTCACTTTCGTGTCCCTTCTCAATGTCACCTGATAAGTTCAAGACATCTAGTTGCCAGAAGACAATTTCCTATGAAGAAACTGCAAACAACCTTTGATTCATGTTCTCTGTTAGAGGACATTAGGAACTTTCTCAGGTGCCTTTAGTTCCCCTCTCTAGGTGCATGCTATTTTGTGATAGGGAACATAGTTCCCAGCCGCCCAGGCTGCTCCCTAGGGACCCTTGGCCAGCCAAGCATGTGACTCATCCAGTTGAAGAGTTTAGGAGGCTTTTGCAAAGGACAAACAGGCAGCAGGCAAGACCTACAGTCACACCAAAGTGGAAAGAGGACTCCAGTGCTGGACCCTGAAGCACGAGAAGCAGAGCATCAGAAGGGGATTTGCTATTGTTTAAGCTCATTCACTTTCAGACACATTATCTACAAATGGTGCTAGTAACATCGTGGCATATACCCACAAGTGTGTTGGGACATTTAAGGTATTCTACTTCTGAGCATATCAGGAAAATAGCATATTTTAAGGAATAGTGGTTAAATTTATGTCTCCCATTTTTCAAGGAGGAAGGTATTTGTAGGGAGGGACTGGGCCAGGGAAAAGAGAGAACTGAGTGATAGCTGTGGAACAGCTACTCAGACCCTGAGCAATAGTCTCTTTATTTTGGCAGCCCAGAGTATTAAATCTGATCTTTCATGAGATGCATCATTCCAAGCTCAACTTTATATGGTCTGTGCTATGCATGTAACAGTTGCTCACTAAAGGTTACGGGGAAGATAAATGGATGGATGAATGACTGACTCGCTTAAGGAGCCACTAGATATTTTCCCCAAAGTGATAGCCTGCTCAACCATAACAGGTTATGTCTCAGAGACGATGGAGGTGACCTCTTCCAAGCATGACAGTAGCAAACTGCCTGGAAGGACATCATCCTAGAAATCATTTCCAACTGAAACTCCTCAAAGGGCGTCGGATTCTCACATTGGCTGTGCTGGCTGAGCCCTTCATAGCCTGCATCCTCTCCCATGTCTGCGCAAGTCCATCTGCATGCTGGTTCAGTATGCAATCTTGCAGGCTGTAGGATTACTGATGACTGACAGCCATTCCCTGAGAACATCGGGTCTGCCTGTAGCCTGGCTGTGCATGGATGATTCACAGTGACAGGATTAAGCACTGAAGCTTCTCCAGGGACAGCCCATGCTCAGGATGTGTGTCTGAGATACTGTCAGACATGGCAGCCAGGGGACTGGCTACCAGGCACGGATGCCTCCTGTGCATGGAGAGAATCACAGAAACAAAGCACCAAGGTCCATTTGCAGGCCAGCTTCCATGGGCTCCCTACTGCTACAGAGTGGTTCCTCCCTTCTGTCTGTCTGGCCAAGAAGATGTTGGGAGGTAAAGAACTCCATCTGTCCCACCTCCTTTACTGTGAGTGATGTTTATCCACTAATTAAATATGTTATATCCCAAAAACCCAGCTGGATGCCTTGTAGACATATAACGCCTCTCATCTAGGTCTGGGGATTACACTTCCTGAACCAAATGGTCGACAGGAAATTTGAGGAACAAGGAATCAGAGTGGTACCTGAATGTATGCAGCTTTTGGAACTATCAAAACACTTCAGGGTTTGGACACCGACAGGGAAGAATCAGCCCACTGGCTTCTTAAGTGGGATTAATACATAGTTTCTTACCACTCAACAAGTTAGATTCAGATGAATGTTTTATTCTCAGGAACTCTTGACTTGTATTTGCAAGGCTTAGTTAATAATAAATATTAAGGCTTCCAAGAAAAATACTGTTGCAATTTGATTTTCCCTGCTTATAACTAAAAGAAAGATTTTCCCGTTCCTCCATTATGATAAAGTCACAAATGGAGCTAGGTTGGAGATAAAGGCCTTTCAGATCTTTTGTGGATCTCATTATTATTTTTTTTTTTTTTTGGAGGCAGGGTCTTGCTCTGTCACCCAGGCTGGAATACAGTGGTACCATCATGGCTCACTGCAGCTTCAATCCCCCAGGCTCAAGCGATCCACCCAACTCAGCCTCCTAAGCATCTAAGCATCCGGGACTACAGGCACATGCCACCACACTCAGCTCTTTTCTTTCTTTCTTTCTTTATTTTTTAAATAGTGATGGTGTCTCGCTATATTGCTCAAGCTGGTCTTGAACTCCTGGGCTCAAGCAATCCTCCAACCTCAGCCTCCCAAATTGCTGGAACTGCATGCATGAGCCACCACACCTGGCCAATCTCATTAATTTTTAAAACAACACAGTAAACTGGAGTTAGAAGTATTCTACAGGTCTAGGATGAAAAGAGGTCTTATTTCTCTTATCAACATCCCCCTTTCTAATTCTACTACCTCCTCCCATGGCCTTGCAGTCACCAAATAAGTATTCCTTTTCCATCTGCCAACTGGGCTCACAATTCTTCAGGAGGACAAGAAATGGTACTATCTAAAGAAAAATTCTGATCACTATTATTAAAGCTAATAATAAGAAATGACAGTCTTGGGGGATTGGGGTAATTGGTCCGGTTCAGATGGACCTTGATCACTGTAATTTAGGCCTTTGGTGAATCCTGTTCCCATGTGCTCTATCACCTTGCTGGGCAGGCAGAAGGTGACATCCTTGCTTTTCTTGGGCAAAGACATGGATCACTCTGAGAGAGGCTGAGCTATGAAAACAGCACATGCTTTCTCTCTCTGTTCCTGCCATCTGACTACCCAGCACTGCCCTGCCTGCTGTTGGTTATTAATGATCCTCTCCTCATTTTGGCCAGTTTCCTGAAATCTTTAGCCACTGCAGGAGCTATGTCTCTTCCAGAAATCCTTGTGTTAGTACAGGACTGTTGCCAATGACTCCTGGGGATATAAAGTCATTGAGAATCATACAATGATAGAGATCATTCGACATTTTTACTTTAATAGAACAGGACACAGAGGTAATCTAATGGATTACCCAAGTTCGAATGGATAATTGTGGCTAAACAGGAATGAGATTCTAGCTATTCTGACTCTCAGATTACTGATTGTCCTGGTCATTTTCCTACCAGTCCTCTCTATGCTTCTACTCCAAACTCCATGATTAAACTTCTCCTGCCTTCCTATGTTCACTTGCTTGAGTATCTTGCAACTTATTTTTTATCCATATTGTTTTCTACAATTTCTGTGCCTTCTTCTACTATGTTTTCTTCTCTCCACTCCCCCATGATAGGACTCTATGCTGTTCAATCATCTTCGAGAAGACACACAGAACTGTGTGAATAGAAAATAAATTCTACTTTCTTTGCCAAAGTGGCCAGAGGGAATTCATTAAGAAGCAGTTTTTCCTGGAGATATTTCTAATATGCCTGCTATAATTGTAGTTGAAATTTCAATATCAAAGGTTAAAGCATCATGGTTTTCTTTTTTTTTTTTTGAGACAGTGTCTAGCTCTTTCACCCAGGCTGGAGTGCAGTAGCATGATCCTGGCTCACTGCAACTTCTGCCTCCTGGGTTCAAGCAGTTCTCCACCTCAGCCTCCCAAGTAGCTGGGACTACAGGTGCTGACCACCACTCCTGACAATTTTTTTTTTTTTTTTTTTTTAGTAGAAACGAGGTTTCACCATGTTGGCCAGGATGATCTCAAACTCCTGACCTCAGGTGATCTGCTTGCCTCAGCCTCCCAAAGTGCTGGGGTTACAGGCATGAGCCACTGTGCCCAACCAGCATAATGGTTTTCTTTACACTTGCTTTTATTTGCAATTATCCTTGGGAAGATAATATATTCATGCAGGAATGCTCAGTGCAGTACTTCCTAACCTAGATTGCATTGCAGAATGGTGAGCCATCTAAATATACTATTTTGGACTCTAGAAGTCCGTAAAGAGATGGAGATGGGCAGATGGAAAGGGGTAAACAGAAAAGAGCCCAGAGGAGAGACAACTGGGAGGGCTAAATAATCTGTGGATGGGGTGAGTGGATCACATGTCTTAGAGGGAAGGACATTTTCACTTTCATTCAGTGTTGTAGTATAGATACAAGAGAACGAAGGCAAGGGAGTTTGGGTTCAAGAAAAAGAACAGAAATGGTCTAGAGACGTGTGGTAGGTAATAGGCACCCTAGGAACCAGGGTAAATACAGGAGCTCTAAATGCTGTCTGTGTTGGTGATTTCAAAAGTTATGGAGAGACAAAAAGCAAGAGGGCATAGAACAATGCAGAATTGGGCAATAGGGGGCTAGTTTTTACTTTCAAATTACTGACTCGATTTTGAATATGTGACTTCTCTTCTCCTGGCCTCAGTCTCCTTAACTGTGAAATAAAGTGGTTACGCTTGATTATCTCAAGGTCCTGACATCTTCAAACTCTTCTGAAGCCAAAATTCTCACATTCCAGTTCCCGTTTGAACAATTCATCCAGGTATAACTTTCTCTTGGCATCATCATAAGGTGGCTAAGTCGTGTGCTTTCTCTTCTCTCGTATGCCTCTCCTCCAAAAAGCAAGCTGTTTTTGAGCCTTTTTCTATCAAACAAATCCAAGCATCTTTTTGAAGCCTCACTTTACTGGAGGCACAAAGCTCTGGGGGCCTCAACCCCTGATGGAATCCTTCCCCTCATTGTCCCTTCATTTCTTCTTTCCAAACTCATCCCCTATACTAGCAGGTTGAACTCATTTAACACGTAAATGATAGCAAACCAGTAACCTCCTGCTGCTTATAATGATAACACTTCCTATAATTTGCATGATAAAATTCAAGTGATTTCAGATAGCATTTCCCAGGACAGGGAGGTGACACCATGGCTCTATGAGGGGAATAAATTTCCACCTCAAGTTCTATGCCACAGCAGTGGTGGATCCGGATTGGCTGACATTCAGCCCCAAACAAAAGCGCAAAGCCTTGTCTAATGGAGCAACGAAAAAGGATATCTAGGAAATATTAACAAGTTTCACATGGTAATTTATGCAAATACACACCATAACTCATCTGAAGAGGTTCAGCCTACACCTATGGAAGGGAGCTGCACTAGCCAAGGATTTTATGGAACTGATAACACCTCATTACATCTCAGAGGCTGTGGGCTTCCATACCAATTAGCACTGGAGAGGCCTAGGGTGGCAATTAGTCTTCAGACCACCTGTATCAGAATCATTGCAGGGTAGTATTAAATTCAGTTTCCAAGGATTCTAGTACAGACCCATTGCATCAGAAGCCCTTAAAACAGGGCCTAAGAATCTGCATTATCAGCAGCTTTATTTTCTGGGTTTTTTTTGGTTTTTCTTTTTTTGGTTTTTTTTTTTGTTTTTTTTTTTTTTTTGGAGACAGAGTCTCACTCTGTCACCCAGGCTGGAGTGCAATGGTGCGATCTCCACTCACTGCAACCTCCGCCTCCCGGGCTCAAGCGATTCTCCTGCCTCAGCCTCCTGAGGAGCTGAGATTACAGGCACAGGCCACTATACCCAGCTAATTTTTGTATTTTTAGTAGAGACTGGGTTTCACCATTGGCCAGGCTGGACTTGACCTCCTGACCTCAGGTAATCCACCCACCTTGGCCTCCCAAAGTGTTGGGATTACAGGCGCGAGCCACTGCGCCCGACCTTTATTTACTGGATGGTTTTTAGGCACAGAGTTAGACCATCTTTCTGAGCCTGGCTCTCATGATCAGCACAGTCAATGTCTACACACACAATGACCACTATCTTACTCTGTGAATTGGGTAAGTCACTTCACTTTTGTCAGCCTTGAGCTCCTCATTGATAAAATAAGAGGGGGACTCAATTACTTCTTAAATGTTTCAGGCCATGATTCTTTTTTGAAGCATAGACCAACCCTGAAGTCCAAACAAAACATAGATGCAGGTGGCCAGTTGGAAAACTGTCCCACATGAACCACATAGCTGTGTACCTCTGGAGTTCTGCTGACTCCCAGGAACAAGGAAGACAGCACAGACTCCCCAAGCATCTCTGTCTTCTCAGTTTCTTGCCTTCACAGTATCTTTTTAGCCTGGAAGCCATGCTTACCCTACTGTTTCTACCAGGGCATTGTGTGTAGACCCAAATCCCTTATCTATCTACCTGTCTGTCTGTCTGTCTATCTATCTATCTATCTATCTATCTATCTATCTATCTATCTATCTATCTATCTATTTCAATAGCTTTAAGGGTACAAGTGGTCTTTGGTTACACGGATGAATTGTACAGGGGTGAAGTCTAAAGTTGTAGTGCACCCGTCACTTGAGTACTATACTTTGTACCCAGTATGTAGTTTTTTATCCCTCACCCCACTGCCACACTTCCTGCTTCTGAGTCTCCGATGTCCATTTCAAATCCTTTATCTTAACAGTGGCTTAGGCTTTTGAAAGCAAAAGCCGTGATGCTTTTTGTTTGTGTGTTTTTCTCTTGAAGGCTGGTTGTATTTCCCAGTCTTTAGTGCCTCTCCTCTGAGGCAATAATGTGTGTATATATATATAATACACTACAACATTCCCAACATCTCGAATGGCACCTGCCATGGAGTAGAGTCTCAATAAATAATCATTGAATGAAGAAACTCAAGGACAATTACCTGTGGGAATATGGAATGGGAATGAGGAAATAGAAGGTGGCAGGGACATATTTTCATAGCTCAATGTATTAGCACATAAAACTAACATTTATTTACAACCAGATATGCTTAAGGTTTTCTACAGGTTATCATGTTTATTACTTACCATCTATGAGGCTGGTATTCATATATATATATGAATTCATATATATGTATATATTTTACTTGAGGCAATCAGGCTCAGGTAAGTTAAAATACATATCCACTGCTTTACATCAGTAAGTTGCCCAGGATATGTTTAGCATCAGGTTTGTGTGACGATATAACCCATAATATTTCCATCCCAGCACTGTATCTCTCAAGGTAGAGTTCAAGCAATAAATTGTTAATTAACTGTTTCATCTACGTTTTCTCCTCCTTTCTTTCTTTCTCTTTCTTTCCTTCTTTCTTTCTTTTCCTTTCTTTCTTTTTCTTTCTTTCTTTCTTTCTCTCTCTCTTTATTTTCCTTTTTTTTTGACAGAGTCTTGTTCTGTCGCCGTTTTCTCCTCCTTTCTTTCTCTTTCTTTCCTTCCTTCTTTCTTTCTTTCTTTCTTTCTTTCTTTCTTTTCCTTTCTTTCTTTTTCTTTCTTTCTTTCTTCTTTCTCTCTCTCTTTCTTTTCCTTTTTTTTTTTGACAGAGTCTAGTTCTGTCGCCCAGGCTGGAGTGGAGTGGCACAATCTCATCTCACTGCAATCCCGGCTAATTTTTGTGTTTTTAGTAGAGACAGGGTTTCACCTTGTTGGTCAGGCTGGTCTCAAACTCCTGACCTCAAGGGATCTACCCGCCTCGGCCACTCCCATGTTCTAGGGATTACAGGCATGAGCCACCATACCTGGCCTGTTATTTCTTTCTTGTCTGAAACTGGATCAACCACTTTCTTAAAAGATTTAAAACAAGACTGAAGCTTGTTTAGATTGGAGCTCAGCTATTTCTGCAACTGTGGTGGCCACCCAGTGGCTAGGCCATGGCCTTGGGAGAAGGTATGTCAAGACAAAGACTTCTCTGGCATAGCTGGGATGAAGTGCCACCATGCAGGGACTGAAACAGTTTTTTAGGCTGCTGTCTTCACATTAGGCATTGCCTTCTCTTTATCCTCCCAAACTTCTCTTGGCTGATTTGCGGCCACGTTTCCTGGACAATATTCCATGAGTATTCTCTAGGTGTTCCCTCCTGCAGCCCTCATAATTTCTCAAGTTACATGTGCTTTGGGAATGATTGAAATTTGCTAGGCAAATGAAGGAAACATGTCCCAGAAGTGGAATCAGCCTGGGTACAGGCCCTAAGTAGCTCTAATAGTCCAACAGAAGCCTGGTGATTTGATGGAGAAGTTGTACATCCTACGTTACGGTTTCCCTGTTGAAGTTGTACATCCTACGTTACGGTTTCCCTGTTAGAGTTACTCAAAGTCCCTTTTCCTTATTCTTTTTATTCCTCTTTTTCTTTGTCTCTGTATTGCTCACATACAAACTCCCTGAGACAGAGTCTCATTCTTTAATTGGCCTTATCATTCCTGGTGAGTGAAGCACTTCAGGCAGGCCACCTGACAGGCTGCTGGCCAGATAAGAGACTAGTTGCCCACTAGCTGGGTCAGTTTTCCTCAGGAGGGTTGTGTGCATGGCAGGTCTTTTTTTTTTTTTTTTTGAGACAGATTCTCGCTCTGTTGCCACGCTGGAGTGCAGTGGCGTGATCTCAGCTTACTGCAACCTTCACCTCGCTTCCTGAGTTCAAGCGATTCTTCTGCCTCAGCCTTCCAAGTAGCTGGGATTACAGGAGTGCACCACCATGCCCAGCTAATTTTTGTATTTTCAGTAGAGACAGGGTTTCACCATGTTGGCCAGGATGGTCTCGATCTCTTGACCTCGTGATCCACCCACCTTGGCCTCCCAAAATGCTGGGCTTACAGGTGTGAGCCACCACACTTAGCCACATGGCAGGTCTTCAGGGCTTAGGAGTTTCCTCTGCAATACTCTCTTCTCCCACTCAGCTGAACTGTTGGCCATTGCAGCACCTACAAGTAGCAGTCACACCTGGACAAAAAAGTACCCAGGAAGACAGAGATGTGAGTGTGGATGGGGTTGGTGGTGCAGGCAGTAGTGGGGAGCATGAGAGAGATCAATGTAATAGGCGAAGTGCAAATACAATAAAACAGCTCACTGTTGGTCAACTGCTGCCTCCCTGGATTTATAATTGAGCAAAGGAACTTAATTTATGATCTCAGCCCCTGAAACCCCAAATCCAGCCACTATTCCCTTAAAGCTTGCTCTCCTTTTGATTGTAAGGTGTCAGACCATCATAAACTGTTAGCCAATCATCTGGCCTGCAACCACACTCATGATTCCTGTTAAGGAAGAAGGTACCTATTAATGGTAGAAAGCACTACTAGGACACTTTCGAACTTGGAGGTGGCCCAACAGTTTTTCCTCAGTCTAACACCATCTGTGTGGGTCTCTGCTTGCTCCCCATCCAGACTCCATGTCATCTGTCTCTGTTTTGGTCTTCAGCTTGTCTTCCTCTGGTTGCAGGGAAGCCTCGTTTCATCACTTTCCTCCTCCGCTATTGTCTGTAACTGTTCTCTTTGCTCCCCATAGACCCACCTCATGGGATATCTTTGTTCTTCTCACAAAGGGAGTTGTCAGTATTGAAGGCTCTTTTCAGGAAGGCAGAGAAAAGGCTCTTATTTTTCTAAGTCATAATCAGATGCATTATTTGTACTACTATCCTCTTTCAGGTGTGCAGCATAAACATAACTGCATACAAGGGATCACATTTTCATGGGTTTATGATAGCATGAATACGTGTGTGCAGGGGAGGTGGTGCAATTCATCACAGGAGAAAAAATGAGACAAAAACAAAGAATGAAGAAGCAGAGAAAGACAGAGAGTAGAAGAAAAAGAGGGTAGGAGTTTGGGCCAGGGAGACCCATTGGCATTGGTGCCAGTGGCCCCAAGGCTTTAATATCCTACTCTTGAGTTTGTGTTTCTAATGTCAGATTCTTTCAAGGTCCTTTCAGTTCTGAGGTTCAGTGGGTGTTTGGACATTGTTGTCCAATGTGACATCTAGAGTGACATCCTTCAAGAGCCCCTTTGGGCTTCTCTTTGGGCTGATGAAATTAGAGTTGTCGGTGTGGAGATAAGCAGCATAGCAGTGGCAGTGACCAGGGAGGCCAGCTAGAGGAAGTAAAGCCATAGCTCATGGTCTCTTCTCTGCAGCCTCACTGGGTGTCAGGCCTGGCACCCCAAGGGCAGTGATTTAGGCTTCACTTTTTATTTGTCACCCCTGCTTTATTTCTGTCCTCCCTAAAGGTCATCCAGTGACAGAGGAACAAGACGGCCACCCCTCTGCAGGCTGGACGTCAAGTTCACACATCACCATCAGACCCCCTCTTTGGCTTAGCTGACTTTTCACACCCTGTGCAGCTCCGCAGAGCACCCTTTCATGAGTTGATTCTGATTGACGTGAGCTGTGCTCAGGGACCGGCATTTAGTCTGCATGATCTGGCTCCATGGCCATAGTAGCCAGCGCTGCTAATGGGGAGGTCAATTAAATAATGCCAGACGTGGCTTTCCTTCCCCACAGCGCTCGACACTGCCAGCGGAAGGTGCTTTGCAGATTATTAACAACCACAATTAATGGGGGTGTAATCGACTGTGAAAGGAGGCCAGTTGCGGTGGCAGGGACAATCCAAACTTACATTCCTGGGGCCAGGGCATCCCAAGGGAGTAGATTCTATCCTGGGCTAGCAATCAGTGAGCTGAGGAGAAGACACATCTTGGCTTCTATGGGGCAAAAGTTTAGAAAATGCTGGCCTGATTGCTGGAGTGTACAAGGTCCCGAATTGCATTGCCTGGCAAATTCTTCCTGTTGGATTTACTCATGATCCTAAAGGGAGAGTCATTTCCTTAATCTGCAAACCTATGAGTGCATGGGGCAGACATTAGAGCTGGAAATGACATTCATTGTGTGATTTTGGGCAACTCCTATAATCCCTCCAAAGATAATTTGCCTGAATTCAGTGATAATATCTAGTAATTTATTGTTGGATATCTAGTGTTCAAGATGTTAATTCCTGCTAGAATTCAAAGACCACATGGAAAGGATAGCTTACTATGCATTATAAATTATTGTGATCAGAATAATAGTGATATCAAAGCCCAATATTTATCATATCATTATCATCATTACCATCACCATCACTGCCACCACCACTACCATCAACATCATCACCAACATGTCACCATAGTTAATATGTATTGAGAGATTTGTCCCAGGCACTGCTTAAAGTACTTTACATGCATTTCTTGTTTAATCTTCGTTACAATGCTATGAAGTAGGTACTGCTATTATTCCCTTCTTACAGATGAGAGAACTGCAGCTTAGTATTTAAGTATGTTGGTTGAGACTACCAGCTAGCAAGTGTAGGTCCAGAATTCTAAACTAGCAGGCTTTTCTAAACTCTCCAGAGTCTGAGTCATTAACCACCAAGTTTCTGGGGTAGACCAATCAGATGGGTCTTAATTTAATCCTGTGGCCACATGACTTTGGATCTCTTTATGGCAGATTCCATATTTAAGGCATGGAAATACAAGTACAAGTAGGGCAAAGAAGGGCAGGTGCAGTGAGGCAGAGGAGACGGCTAGATGCAATTTAAGGTGATGCCCACGCTTAGGGTTGTACAGTAGTATTCACTGCACTTACAACCCTGGGATCACTTTTGCTTTGTACCCTGAACAGTAGGTGCCTTCCTAGCCTCATCCTAGTCTTGGCCCTAATAGCAAAAGTTAAATGAGATCCTTTATGTAAGTGCCTGGCATATAGCAGTTTCTGAAATACTAATTTCATTATTTTTCTTGAGACTAACATCAGATATTTCCTGTCGAGCAGGAAGAGAGGGAAGAGACCACAAAGATCCTTTGGACTGGAGTGTGAGGGAGGTATGAGGAAATTAGGAGGCCCTGATGACAAATGTCACCATTTGCTTAGACCCTCCTTTGCCCCACTCACTTCACCTCTAGCTCCTACTCTGGAACCCAAATTCTCCTCCTCACACAGTGGAGGTCTTTCTTCAAAGGAGTGGAGAACAAATGCATCTGCTGTCCCAGGGAGGCTCATTTCCTGGGCCTCTCAGATACTATTTCTTTGGGACATCTTCATGGTGTTTGTATTCTCCCAGCCCTTCTCCAGTTGCACCTGCCTTTCACAGGGCAACCACATGTACCCTGTCTGCAAAGAGGTTCCTTACTAGGTGGGACATTTTACATAAGCAAATACCCTTTACAATAGCAGAATATCGTGGCTTGAGGGGACTTTGTAGACCACTTTGTCAAACCCTCTCATTTCAAAGATGTTGCACGTAAGGCCCAGGAAGGGGAAAACTAATCTGCTCTCTGTGGGTTAGTGTAGCTTGTAAATAGATCTCGTCTTTTGAAGCCATTGCTACTTAGTGCTGTGGGTCTGGTTTTATGTAGCATTCTGGACTGTGCATGACACGTGCCACCAACAAAGCTAGAAATGGATGTTGCAGGGCAAGAGTCTTCCTCTGTACAACATGGTCTTTCCCTTTCTAGAGAAAACTGCTTGGAGAATACTCAGGGATGACCTGCCCTACTTTGTCCAGGAATTCCATTTAGTAACCCTCCTGAAAGAAGACACTCTCTGTATTCCTCTCCCCTTTTGCTGGGCTGGGGAAGGAATAAGTAAACTCTATGTGTGTGCATGTGTGTATGTGTGTGTGTGTTTCTGTCTGTGTGTGTGTCTGTGTGTGCGTAAATGAGGGGCTGCTTGGTGCTGGTGGATAACAAGACACTTTCTCTTTTTCTTTCCTTTGACAAAGCAAATTGCAGCTGTTTCCATCTCAGGGACCTAGCACAGTGCTTGGTGCAAAGTTACTGTTTCTGAGAATCTCATTGTCTTCTCCTGCCATCTTGTATTCCCAGCACTGCAGCCCTAGAGAGAAAGCTGGGCTCATCTCCACCATATGGGTGCTGCCAACATGCATGATAATTATGCTTTAAGGGACTATTGCTTTATGCATCTTTCTCCGCCTTCCCCATCTTCCTAATGATGACACAGTCACATGGCCAGTACTGTTCTCTTTTCCTTCAGGTCATACAGCGGCTCTTTCTAGGAGTCTAGTTTCTTGCTAATTGCAGATGAAGCCTGATCTGATGGATCCCCCTCGCCTTGAGAATGCTCTGATACTCTGAGACCTGGAGCTGGATGTTTAGGATAATGCCTTCCTTGGAGCCTCACGCTTTGGGAAGGTAACAAGTCAGCATTGACCCCAATCCCCAAATGCTTCTGAGAGAAATGCTTGCCAAATTCTATCCTCCTTCTCAGATGACTTCTTGGTTGCAATGATTCAGCTAATCCATGCAGAGATAATTTGGAGATGATTTGGAATAGCTAAGTAATTGGGCTACCTTTTGGTAGCCCTGAATCATCTCAAAAACTAGGGAAATTGTTTCCATTCATCATTCACCCAGAATATCTCTATGTGTGTTGCAGGGGTGAGAGGTGGGGAGAGATGTAGAGTAAAAATTTAGATTTATTTGGCTTTGATAAAACAAAAATAATTTCATCAATGACGTTTTGTTTAAATGTTGCAGTAACCCTGTGAGATTATTTCTGTTATCTCCATTTTTCATTAAAACATGACTTGTCCAGCTGGGCGCAGTGGCTCACACCTGTAATCCTAACACTTTAGGAGGCCAAAGTGGGTGGATCCCTTCAGCCCAGGAGTTTGAGACCAGTCTGGTAAACATGGTAAAACCCCATCTCTACTAAAAATACAATTAGCCAGGTGTGTTGGCATGTGCCTATACTTCCAGCTGCTGGGGAAGCTGAGGCAGAAGAATCACTTGAACCCAGGAGATTGAGGCTACAGTGAGCCATGATCATGCCACTGCACTCCAGGCTGAATGACAGAGGGAGACCCTGTCTATAAAAAAAAAAAAAAAAAAAAAAGACTTGTCCAAGGTCACATAGTTAATAAGAAGCAGACTTGGGACGTAAAACCTGGTGTAACCTTGGCACCAGAACTACTTTCAGAAATATTACCAAAATATATTGGTGCCTTGCCACTCAAAAGTGTGATCCATAGGCCAGCAGCAGGGGTATCACCTGGGAGCTTGCTAGAAATGCGGAATTTCAGCTCTCACCCCAGACCCACTGAATCAGAATCTGCACTTTAACAGATTCCCAGATTCCCATACGTATTGGAATTGGAGCAGTAATGCTCCAGAGCACTGTCCAATTACAATATAGTATTTAGATTGGTGCAAAACAATTGCAGTTTTTGCCATTGACCGCAATGGCAAAAGCTGTGGTAACTTTTGCACCAACCTAAAACGTAGTACTTATATAAATTTAAGTTTTCTCGTAGCCACATTAAAAAGGTAAAAAGAAACAAGGGACAATTTTTACTGTACATTTTAATCCCAAATATCAAAAATATTATCATGTCAACATGTCAATATAAAAATGATTAATGAGAACTTTTACATTTTTTTTTGTACTATGTCTTTGCAACCTGATGTGTGTCTTACGCTTGTGCATCTCAATTCAGACTAGACATATTTCAAGGACTCAATAACCACGTGTGGTGAGTGACTGCCCTATAGGACAGTGAGGCTCCATAGAAGTGGTTCTTAAACATTAGCATGGATCAAATCACATGGAGGGCTTTTCAAACACAGGTGCAGGTGGCTGAGTGTCCACCTCCAAGGTTACTGATTCAGTAGATCTGGGGTTGAGATCCAAATATTTACATTTCCAACAAGTTCCCACATGATGCTGAGGCAGCTGGTCCTAGGACAATACCTTGATGACTACTGCTCCAGAGGCTCCTCTGCCCCATCTGAGACATCATAAGTTTCTGGATTTAGAGGAGAGAAACAAAGAGCACTCAGACATGAGGGAAGGAAATAAAATCACAACAAAAGAAAGAACATAGGCATCTTGAGCTACCAAATGGAGTGGGGTAGGCTGGCCTCTGGGGGCTACTAGATACAGTTGTCCACAGACAGATCTGCCCATGTGTTTACATAGTTTATGAAGAATGTGTGCCCCAGGTCTAGACTCACTGACTGCAATGCCATTGTTATACTAACAATTATCTTCAGGGGGCATAGCCAGATATCTGGGGCCTACTGGATGCTTCCTCACATAATCACTTACCTCGTCCTGCGTCTTCTTCTTTGAAAACTACCTTGAATCTCCTCCTGTCTATCTCCATTCCACCTCCCTCCTGTCCCACTGTTTCCAGTGGGTCTCCCTGTTTCCAGACTTGTCCCACCCTCAATTCATTCTGCACACTGCAGCCAGAAAGATCCTTTTAAAATGTATTTGTTCATGTCTCCCCTCTGATTTAAGTTATCCATAATAAACTATCTCTTACCTTCAGAATAAAATCCAACCTGATTTGCTGACCTTGAAGACACTTCATGACACTCCCTGCCCAATCTCTGGTCACACAGGGGACTGATCTCCCCTCAGCAGCTTGCTCCAGAGACATTGGCCTCTTTCTGTTTTCTTTTTTTTTTTTTTTTTTTTTCTTGAGAGGGAGTCTTGCTCTGTTGCCCAGGCTGGAGTGCAGTGGCGCGATCTCAGCTCACTGCAAGCTCTGCCTCCCAGGTTTACGCCATTCTCCTGCCTCAGCCTCCCGAGTAGCTGGGACTACAGGTGCCCACCACCACGCCCGGCTAATTTTTTTTTGTATTTTTAGTAGAGATGGGGTTTCACCGTGTTAGCCAGGATGGTCCCGATCTCCTGACCTCGTGATCCACCCGCCTCAGCCTCCCAAAGTGCTGGGATTACGCACCTGGCCTCTTTCTCCTTTTTGAACAAAAAAATTGATAAGCTTTTTTCTGACTGACCTTCACACCAGTGGACCCCTGCTTAGAGTTCTCTTCCTACTCTAATTATTCTGGCTGGCTGCTTCTTCCTTCCCGTCTCAGTTTAAATGCCACTTCCTCCAAGGCAACTAACTGGACCTCCCTAAGGAAAGTAGCCTTCATAACCCACAATCTTCTTTATAGCACCAGGATCATTTTCTTCATGCTACTTAACACAATTTGTCATGACATGGTCATTTGTGTGTGCATGGCTTCATATTGGCCTGCCTCAGTAGTCTATCAGTAACAAGAGGAAAAGGACCACATATTTGGTTCATTTTGGTATTCACCCTAACCCAGCATAGTGCCCAGCACAGCAATACACCTTCATATAGCTATTAGTCATCTGGATAATTCTGTCATGTTAATACACTGTGAGCACATAAACCATAGAAAAAAAATGACCTTGAATATGTTTTCAATTGCTCAAGGCCATTGGGTGAGAGCAGCAGAAAGGAGTTGCTGTTTTGTCCAATAGTATTAACATTAATATAACCATATTAAAGTGTTCAGAAATGGTCCAAGAAACCAGAAAAAATGGACCAGGCCAGACTGGGTGAGCTACAAGGATCACTGTCAAGAAGAAAATGTGTTAGTTATTCCCAGCAAACTACTCGTCAGTAGGGGCAGCTGGTGGCATGGAGGATGATTTTTATTTTCTTTATTAGGGCAACAGGTAGAGCCTGATGGCTTTTTTGCCATTTTAAATTAAATCAAATTCAACATGATTGCTTACTGGAGAATTTTATTTTTAGGTTTTAGCCACAATCTCTGGGATGTATCCTGTTTTCTTTTATAGCCAGACCATAGCTATTGATCCCAGTATCTTTGTTCCTTCCCTGCCTAGGTGCAGACAATATATAATCTCAGGCAAAAGTGATTGCCTCCCACCCAGAGGAGCATCGCCTGAGAAATCCCAGGGGCAGCTCAGCGTGGTCTCCCTTTTCAGTGTTGCTCACCCAGGCCAAGCTGCAGAGCAATAGTTGGGGGCTTCGTTGCCTGAGGCAGAGGTTCTAATAAATCAGCCAGAATCCTGCAGAGAGGCCCCACCAATTCAGGCATTTAGACGAGAGCCAACAAGAACCAGAGCTAACCCATTCTTCATCCTGCCTGGTGTTTCCTTTCTCCTGGAGGTGCCTTTTATTGTGCCCTAAAAGGGAGTCCAGGAGCCTGTGCTATTGTGAGCCTCTGAGCTCGCTGTGTGTGTGGGGAGAGGCAGGGGGAGCATACACGCTCATATGCCTTTTCTCCCTCCTTTCTTCTTTTTATTATCATTAATAATGAAATATTGAGACCAGGCTGCTAATAAGCCTAAACTCCCTCCTGTTAGTTTATTTTTTGCCTTCAGACTGTCACTTCAGAGTAAATTACTTTTCTCTGCATCTTGTTCCAGTAATATTACACCAGCATGACCCTCCCCCTCCCACCCTCCTTCTAATTTCAGGGCTATTCAGTTTCTCTCACTGCAGTTTACTAAGCAAGGGAGGTCGTCCCATCTATCATACTTAAACCTGTACAACGTGTCCCCTCCTGCAATTGAGACATCATTCTTTTTGCACTGGGTCAAGTCAGGTTTTAAATACTTACACAATACGCACAGATATAACCTATAAATAAGTAAATAAATAATACATGCCCACATCTGTATGTTATTTCTAAGTTCTATGGAAAACAATTTAGAGACAGCGAGGCAGAGTGAGACCTGTTTTGAAGGGAGCAGGATGAATAAGCAGACAGGCGGCAATCCCCGCCATTGCCCGGCAGCCGCGTCTGCTCAGCTCTGGCTCCTGTTCATTTCATGGCATGCTAAGCATTTCCTTGTCAATTGGGAGATGTCAGGATGTGAAAACAACCAACATTAAGTAGATATTTTGTGCCAGCACGACAGCAAGTGCCTCAAATATGCTTTTGTCTCCGGTTCAAAGATGCTAAAATGGTCTTCATCAAACAGCCAGCATTTCTTCATGTTTCCTTTGCTATTGGCAAATACAAAGAACTCTGCTGCTTTCTCTCCCTTTCATTTCCTTCCTGGCTTTTTTCTCTTTCTTGTCTTCATACTGCTTAAAAATAAGGACTCTGAAGCCTTGGTTTGTATCCCAGCTCTACCACTTACTATGTGAACTTGGACAACTAATTTAACCTCTCTGTGTCTATCCTTGTTGATAGAGTGCTGATGATGGTATTTTATTCATAGTGTTTTGAGGACCAAATGAATTAATACATGTAATGTACTTAATGCAATACCTCACACTATAAGTGCTCAGTAGATTTTCTTCCTCTTCCCTGTCTTTTTCTGTCTTTCTTCTCTCTCTCTCTCTTCTCTTTCTTTTTTACACTAGGAATTCTGACCTCAGAGAATGAGCTTTTACTAATCACCCACCTGTCTATTCTATATGCAACTGAACTTATTTCCACTGTTGTCGCTGACTGTCGCCAACAGTGCTGTGTAAAACCTTTGGAGCCCAGAGCAAGAGGAAAACTCAGTGATACTGATCCTGTCTTTATTTAAACTTTTGGTATTTTGCTCATCATGAATTTTTTGCATGATTGTCACTTTTCAAAAACTGTTGCATTAAAATGTTATTTATGTTGATTATTGAGGTTTTTTGGCAACACTTTAGTTTTGTGTCCGAGGAAAGTGTACTGTGGGCTTTGCTTGCCTTACCTTATCCCCAGCCCGGGCTGTCACAGACATCAATCTTGTTCTAGTTCTCCCATCTTTTCCTCTTAGGCTGTGTGTGGACCCTTCTAACAGTACATACTGTCTTGATAAAGGGCCACCATCCTGGTATTGGTCATTGCAGGGGAAGGGAATGGAGAGTCCATTTCACCCAGAAGAGAGAATCTCTCTAGGCTGAGCATGAAACAAAAAGCAGGCAAGGAAACACATTTGAGATTGATGTGACCTACAGGTTAGGCCTTCAAATCTCCCCCAGCTGACCCATGAAATCTCGTCTTGCCTCCCTTGATAGGATGTGAATAGGGGCCAGCCTGGAGGTGGGGTTATTTATGAACCTGACCCTCTGGGTACAACACGGCACCATAGAAGGGTCAGACAGCAGAAAGCAAATGGTATAGCTTTCCTTTTTTTACTGCCATCCAAGTGGGTAAGACTCTGCCCCTGGGATTAAGCATTTTTATGGGGTTCTTCTGCTGTGCCCCATGATAAAGTAGGGGCTGCATAGTATTTGTCCCTTACAGTTCTTTTGGCTTGAGAACAAAAGGGCAGCTGTTGGTAAAGAAGAGGCTGACTGTGTGCCCTCCTAGGCTCTCTTGCTAATAGGACCATCTAACACAGCACTATATCCACTTCTTCTGAGCACTCAGGACACTGCTGGAAATGTATGCAAAACTTTCCAAGCTTTGAGGTTCTGGGGGGTCTCAGCTCCTTTAAATATGCACTAGAACAACAACAAAAAACTACTTTCTATTTCATGTTGAGACTATTCTATCTCTTCCCACCCCACACAAATCCTCTACCTGCCCTAATGATCAAAAACAGGCAATGTACAGGCTTGGGATCATTCGAGGCACTAAGCAAACCTAATGCTCATTAACCTGATGCAAGTCTTGTTTCTTCCCAAGTTGACTCTGTCTTGCAGCAAAGTGTCAGAAATGCCTTTGTTCCAGTGTATTCTTCCAATATTTACATATATGCCTGAAGAATGTATCAAAATGTCAAAGTTTGAAGCACTGGGCCATTTACCTCTGCAAACGTGTTTTAAGGTCTGTCCTGCTGCGAAAGTCTCTAGAACAATGGTCCTCAAGCTTTAGCATGCCTCGGAACCACCAGGCAGGCTTATTAAAATTGCTGGACCCACCCTCAGAGTTTCTGATTCAGTAGGTCTCGAGTGGGATCCAAGAAATTTCATTTCTTTCTTTTTTTTTTTTTTGAGACAGAGTCTTGTGCTCTGTCACCCCGGCTGGAGTGCAGTGGTGTGATCTTGGCTCACTGCAAGCTCTGCCTCCTGGGTTCATGCCATTCTCCTGCCTCAGCCTCCAGAGTAGCTGGGACTATAGGCACCCGCCACCACACCCAGCTAATTTTTTGTATTTTTAGTAGAGATGGGGTTTCACCGCATTATCCAGGATGGTCTCCATCTCCTGACCTTGTGATCCTCCCGCCTCGGCCTCCCAAAGTGCTGGGATTACAGGCGTGAGCCACCACACTGGGCCCGAAAATTGCATTTCTGACATGTTCCCAGGTAATGTTGATGCTGCTCACTTGGAGACCATGCTTGGAAGACTACTAGTGTAGACTCTAGAGGGTCATTCGGTCACAGCTTTGTCAGTGATTTCACTGGTCAGTGGAATGGCTCTATAAATTCAGTTTAGAAAGACAATGTCTTTCTCTTTTTATCTATTAATGTAGGCTATATTCTTACTCATATAAATTCCTGTTTAATATCCTACCTTATATCATCCCTGTCCTCTTCTATCTCCTTTAAGTCTTTTCTGTTCAGCTGGTTGATGAGGGGCAGAGAATAGGAGGAAAGCATGCTCCCACTTCTTAACTACTTCTTTGCAGGAACAGCTCATGTCACTGAAAGGAGAGTGGAGAACGTAGTTTACTTAGCGGGTGGCCTAAGAGAAAATAGAAGTGGGTTAGGGTTAATTTAGAGCCCTCTCTGCTACACCCTTCCAGAGTATTTGGGAATTTCATTTTGTTTTGTGAAAGTCGTTCAGTTAAGTCTCAATTTTTCACTTTACATCAACCATCTCAAACACTGGTAATGGTGCCCTCTGTTTCTCCTGTAATTATCTGTCAACTTGCCATGACCCATCACTTCTTCCTAGAGAGAAAGTGCTTCCTCTTTGTGTAGTGAGGGCTTGAGGAAGGATGTCAACAGGTAGGAGGAAATGCTGACTCTTTTACAGAGACCTGGGAGTTCCTTCTATAATAACTTCTGAGATAATAAATAACAATTTGACAATCTCTCTTCTACTTTAGATGTCTTCTATTTCTCATACTTTTTCGTTATTGGAGGAAAACAGGAGTGGATAGGGAATAGAAGGGAAGAATAACGATAAAACCTTTGATGCTTATTTTTATTCACTTTATCTCTTCTATATTTCAATTACATATGGTCTGTATGGGATCATGAGAATGAACATGTGACTGGAGGTCAATTTTTGTTGCAATAAGATTCTGACAAATTGAAGGTTGTCTAACTATGTATGTAGGCAGAGATACTTAAAATAGCCCAGAAACCATCACCTGCACACAGACATATTATTACATATGATGAAATAATGTCATCATGTGTCCAGTAAGGTTAAAAGGGAGACACTCACATTAAAATCAGTTTTCTTCCCATACCTTCCTGGAGTTTACAGGGAGAGAATGAACTGTCATGAAATCCGTTCTGGCTGCTGGTAACTCTGCCCATATATGTATTTATATACTTCTCCCAGTCCCTTCCAGGGATGTCTATTTTCCATATAGAAAGTCTAAATCATTGAAAGCAGCTGCTCTATAAAGCTTTCGTACCCCTTAGAAACCCTTAGGACAAGCAGCTGGTATGGTAAAATTATTTTAGTATAACAACAAACTATTAAATGTACATAACTACTTATGTTTCCACAATAACTTTGCATACTTTTTTTTCCTTTGGTGCTACCATTAATCTTGCAAAAAACATATAGGGTGGATACTATTTGTCCCCTATTTACAAACAGAAAAAAAAGTCATGCAAAGGGACAGAGTGACTTGCCTAAGGTCACTAAATAAACTTGGAGATGGAAGCAGGACTTGGAATGATACATCTATGCCGAATAGAATGTTGGGTCCAACCACATGTGAATATAAACCCCAATGTTAAGGGACCCTTTCCACTTTCTTCATACAAACCACCCCAGAAGAGTGGTTTGTGAAGTTGTTCCCTATATAACTGCAATAAAATTTAGGCCAAGTAAATCCTTTTGATGATATACATTCTCAGAATGCTCAGTTATTAGCTCCAGAGAATTCTAACATTAATACGCACACATTTTAGACATCAAATTACTTATCTGCAATGAAAATGATGATGTCAAAATATCACAGACATAGCTTAAATAAGCAAATGAACAAAACACTTGCTACCAGCTTCTTTGCCTTCTGAAGAGAATGAAATACAGCTCCAAACACTCATGTTTTTGTTTCTTTCTTCTCCTCATCCAACTGGCTTTCCAGGAAACAAGCATCCACTATTGTTCCTCCACAGAGGACTCGATATTATCAAATGTCTAGAGATATCTCTAAATGTGATGTCATTGTGGAAACTGAGTATATATTCTACAAAAAAGTACTTATTGATATATCTTAATGACTTATGAGATGAAGGACATGTAAAGTGACATGAAACAAAGCAAAACAAAAGCAAGAACAAAGCATTTCCTTATTCTCTTCCCTTTTTCCAAAATGTGCTCCTTTTCCATCTGTTTATGCAAAGCTCTCCCTCAAATTGTTTTTCTATTATAACCAAATGGTGGACGATCTGAGGCATCTGGGAACATGTTGTGGCATTTCCTGTGAACTGCCCTGTCCCCAGCTTGGGTTTAAATGCCCTTGTGGCGCTGACTAACAAGTTGGGCTTCATCTAGAGCACTGAGCCTTGCCAGCATTATGATTACATTTTTTTGCATAGTCGACGTTGCTACATTAAACTCCAGATGCTTTCTCACAAGTCACTAAATTAACAACACACACATTTTTGGCCCATTAACATTACACTAAGATCGCAGCAGGATTATCAACCAGAAAGGTGATTGTGTGTGTATCTTCTGTTCTCATCATCTCTTCAGTTTTTACTTTTATAAAATCAGGTCAGGGAAAATGAGGAGAGAAACATAAAGCAGACCCAGTAGTTTGTTAGGAAACTATGTTCCTATCAAGAGAAAAAATTGCTATCCTCTGTCAGCAGGTTGATATGTTTTATGAAGTACAAGTGGCATCTTTTAATGTAAGTACTAACAAAATTACTGTTGGAGGGCTTTTTTAGAAAACTAATATACTTTATGACATGAAATATATTAAAATGTCGGTGTTTTAACCAATGTTTATAAAAATATATTATAGTCATTTATTGAGTTTATAAAGCATGTTATAGACTAACAGGATAAAAGATGCTTTGCAAATAAAGTTGCTATTATTTAGAAGGTGCATCTGATGCCTGAGCTTACTGAGCTTAGATAGGTGGCACATTTGACCTCTTTTAAACAGAAAAGCACTTCATTTTGGAAGATCAATATACTGGTCTCAACAGTAGTCAGCCCTCATTTAAGCAAACTAATTTGTACTTCTATGCAAGTACTTTCATGCAAAGTCTTGTACACCTTGAAATATTTTGGTATCTATCTGAGAAATTGGTTCACAAATCCAGCACTGTAATTGTCTGTTGTCCTGTAATTGCCTGTGTACTCAACTGTAGCCCTCATTAGACTCTCAGCTCATGAATCAGGCTGAGTGCATTGTTTTTTGTTGTGTGTTCAACGCCTGGCTCAGGGCAGGACACATAGTAAACAATCAATAATGCTTATTAAATATGGAAATGAAATAACGAATGAGAGAAGCATAACTGAAATCTGTTGACTTATACTCATCACAAATGTGAATAAGTTGGTGTCTTAGTCTGTTTTCTGCCATTATAACAGAATACCTGAGACTGGGTAATTTATAAAAAAAGTAAAAACAGAAGTTTCTTTCCTCACAGTTGTGAAGGATGGGAAGTCCAAGATCAAGGGGTTGGCATTTGGCAAGGGTCTTCTTGCTGTATCAGACCATAGTGGAAGGCAGAAGAGCAAGAGAGGAAGAAGGGGACAAACTCACTCCTTTATAATGGTACCAATTCCCTCATGACCTAATCACCTCTTAAAGTTCCCACCTTGTAATACGTTAGAATGGCAATTAAATTTCAACATGAATTTTGGAAAGGACATTAAAACTATAGCAGTTGTGTAGGGATAGTGTATTTATTATAATGAATGGCTTTTTCAGTTGTGCTAGCCTTAAAGAATCAGACAGACATTTTTAAGTAACCATTATTAACTGGAGAGCTGCAGTTTCAGGCATTCAAGCTTATTAGCAAAAGACACCTTTGCTGAGAGGAGAGCCCTGAATTCAAGCTGTGACCCCAGGTTCTCTTCCCAGGAAGAAGAGATTGCTGAGTGAGAGGACCTTTGTGTTATACAACTTGGGGTGGAGATCCACAAGACTAATTGGTCTTCAAATGCCAATAGTGTTTCTTCTAAATTCTCAATATCCCTTTATGCAAAACTGTCACGAGGCAGGGGAGGGAAACCCTGGGTGAAATATGTGTCTTGCATTTTAAATGTACATACAACCAGGCTACAGTCCCATTCCCTGCCTTGTCTGCTTCTTCAAACTCTAGAAACTACAAGACCCTTCCCAGAGCCCTGACATCCCCAATTCTAAGAGGATTAAGATGTGATTTAGGCATGGGAGATGATTTACTTTTCTGAGCACATTCAAATCGGGGAAAGATTGGAAATGACTTTTAAGGAGCCAAAGTAACAACCTGCCATATGTGAGTTGCTAAAACTAAACTCAGGCTTAATGGGACTGTAGTTTTTATATGATTCAAAATGAGGCTTATTTGAAAATGCAATAACATTTAGAAAATTTGAAAATTAGAGAAAATTATAATGAGAGAAAATGTTCCACATCATAATCCCACCCCCCCAGATGTAGCCACTGTTTATATTTTGTATTTCTTTCCATTTTATATATCTAAATGCGTGCGCACACACACACACATGCAGATATATGTAAATATATTTTATAGAAAATATGGCCATACTACTGACATTTTTTCTTCTACTTTTTTCACCTGGATTAATTGATAACGAAAGTCTGCATGAAGTTAAAACAAATTTATCCAATAACAGAGATGCTGCCATTGCCAACTTAGACTGAGATATTCCTAAAATTCAAGAGTAGTCTGGAAATCATTTATTTAAACCTCACTTCTCTTTCTGCCTCCATAGATTAGGAAAACAAACTATTTGCTAACATCGCATGTCCTTCTTCTTGTGGGCATGGTGCTCCTTTGTACACAACACAATGTAAGTGTAGAGCAGTGAAGGAAAGTACAGGTTCTGGAGTCAGATGCCTGTTCAAATTCTGAGTCTGACACTTACTAGTTTTGTGATACTGAGCAACATACTCAAGTCCTATATGTTACTGTTCCCTCATTAATAAAAACAGAGATAACAGTGCTCATATCTCAGATTAGTGTTGTAGAAAATAAATGAATGAATACTAAAATGCACTTTGAACAGAAACTGGTAGTGAACATGTGCTCAGTCAGTGTTAGCTATTATCATTATAAATACATATACTGTCTGTACATAGGAGAAAATTCATTTACAAGTTCACGATCATCTTTAATTCCATTCAGAGACCCCCTCAAAAGACTGAATGTATATGTCAACAAAGTGATTTTTCTTTCTTTTTCTTTTTTTTTGAGATGGAGTCTCGCTCTGTCCCAGGCTGGAGTGCAGTGGCACAATGTCGGCTCACTGCAACGTCCGCCTCCCAGGTTTAAGCGATTCCTCTGCCTCAGCCTACTGAGCAGCTGGGACTACAGACACACGCCACCATGCCCGGCTAATTTTTGTATTTTTAGTGGAGACGGGGGTTTCATCACATTGGCCAGGACGGTTTTGATCTCTTGACCTCGTGATCCGCCCGCCCCGGCCTCCCAAAGTGCTGGGATTACAGGCGTGAGCCACTGTGCCTGGCCCACAAAGTGATTTTCCAATCAATCAAAGTATAACCAATTTTTTTTTTTTGATACTGAGTTTCACTTTTGTTGCCCAGGCTGGTGTGCAATTGTGCAATCTCAGCTTACCGCAACCTCCACCTCCCAGATTCAAGCGATTCTCCTGCCTCAGCCTCCCAAGTAGCTGGGATTACAGGCATGTGCCACCACGCCTGGCTAATTTTGTATTTTTAGTAGAGACAGGGTTTCTCCATGTTGGTTAGGCTGGTCTCGAACTCCTGACCTCAGGTGATCCACCCGCCTCAGCCTCCCAAAGTGCTAGGATTACAGGCGTGAGCCACTGTGCCCGGCCAGTATAACCAAATTTATCAATGAACCAGGCCTTGTGGGGTTATAAAGGAAATTTATAATATGGCTTATAAATTTTACTGTAGAAACAAAATTTACGAATGAAGTAGTCCTGATAAATGTTCTAACCATGTATCTAACCATGTGTACCTAACTATGTGAAAAAATTACGTATTATTCATTTTGATTATGGCCCTTAAAGAACATTTATTCTGATGTTCCCCATCCCATTTTGCAGCAGCAGAAACAGACCTGAAGAAGTTACATGACTTGTTTAAGGAGCCTGAACTTGTCGGTTTCAGAACAGAAGGACTATAACCAGAGACTTCTGATTCCCAGCCTGATGCAATTTCCACTGCACAATGGCTACATTTTACTTGACAGGGGTTCAGAGAAAACGGGAAAAGATAAAGATTGAATGATTCAGGAAGAATTTCATGGAAAAGTGGGATTTCAGTTGGGCTTTAGGGGAAAGATTTGGAAATGAAGCCAGGCAGGAGGAGAGCCATCCAGATACGGAAAAAGGAAGAGCAGAGAGGGGCTTCAGCGGAGGAATGGAGAGGGTTGGTTCAGAGGATGATAAGGAGGGCAGGGACACGACATGCTTAACTTTCTGTGACCTACTTTTCCTATGCATCTAGTTTTTACACTGATGTCCCTGGCATAGACCAAGAGATTTTGTCCTACAGTAAAATGAAAGGCAGTAGTATCTACTGTGCTTAGGGCTGGCAGTGGGCAGTGCAAGATTGTGTAATACTATTCTTTCCTCAATTGCAGATACAGGGACTTGAGAGTTCTAGCAAACAGTGGATAGTGGCAGCATGTTTGAGTTTCAACTCTGCCATTTGATACGAGTATGACTTTCAGTAACTCTTTCAAGCCTTCATTTGTCCAGTAGTCATTACAATACTATTTCACTCATGGGTTGCCATCCAAACAAATAACAAAGTACATGGGCTAAAATTTTGGCTAAAAATATTTCCTCAGCTTTTCCCTTCATCATCAGTGACCAGCAAACCAAGCTAATCCTTTAACAACTCAACCCACCTCTCCTAATATCACTAATGCAACTGGGGTCAACCATGGAACAGCTGCACCAAGAAACGGAGAACATTTCTTAGAAACCTCAGCACAGATCACAGGATGTGCATGCATTGCAGTGACTTATTTAAAAAGACAAGATGAAATATTGCAGCTATCAATAATTCCCGCACATGGCTGACTTCTAATGAAAGGATAAAGCTTCTGAGGGAGAGAGAAGAAATGAAGAAAAGGATTTTTATCAATTTCAAAGGAACACTTTGATATAATCCTGAAATTTTTTCTTGGTGAAATATTTTCTTTTATTACCCTCCATCATACAGTGTTTGTTTAATTTCCCCGTTTTAGCAGGTGTATATTTCAGTTTTTAATTTTAAAAAACACCGTTGTTCCTCATTGGTTTCTCCACATCATTTCATTTCCCATTTTCTAGCTTCTTCTTGGAATCGTTGTTGTTGTTGTTGTCAGTGATGAGGAATTTCTTCTGAGACTTTATTCTCTAAAATATTTGTCTGCAAGGGAGAATATGACCACAGGCGATTTAATTTCCCTAGACTTCCATTTCCATATCTGCCAAAAAATGTGTAATTTCTGCTCCTTCCTCCAACACTTAGAAGTATAATAGTACTTCCATCAATATGATTCTCTGAAATGTTTCAGTAAAAATATTATTAAAACTAAAACATCTGTAATGTAATAAGTGGATGTCCAAATATGAAATCTCTCTAGCTGAAATCTCTCAGCTAAAATCTCTCTAGCTGAAATCTCTCTAGCTGCATGGTGGATTTGGCAATACAAGAATCACTTGATGCAGTAACTTGCAACATCTTTCTGTCTCTTCTTTATATTTCTTTTCTGGCTTTTCCTTTGTCTTCCTATGCTAGTCTCCTTCCTCGTCCTTTTCCCATGTAACCAAGGTTTGGCTAGTCCTTCCATGCTCCCTGGGCCTTGGGTAGGAAAAAAACAGTAAACAGTATGTAGTATACCACTTTTCTTTACTTTTATTTTATTTTATTACTTACTTACCTACTTACTTGAGACAGGGTCTTGCTCTGTTACCCAGGCTGGCGTGCAGTGGTGCAGTCTTTGCTTACTGCAGCCTTGACCTCTGAGGCTCAGGCAATCCTCCCACCTAAGCCTCCCGAGTAGCTGGGACCACAGGCACACACCACCACGCCTGACTAATTTCTGTATCTTTTTGCAGAGACGAGGTTTCACTGTGTAGCCCAGGCTGGTCTCAAACTCTTGGGCTCAGGTGATTCACCCATGTTGGCCTCCCAAAGTGCTGAGATTACAAGCATGAGCCACCATGCATGGCCTACTAGACCATTTTATATAAGGGACTTGAGCATCTGCAAATTTGGGTGTCCACTGGAGGTCCTAGAACTGATTTCCATGGATATGAAAGGCCAGCTATATTTTTTCTTTCTAGCTCTACTCCTACCAGGTTCATATGGGCATGGGAACCTCACTTGCAGGGGTCATCTCCGCTATGAGTCTGAGACATGACCTTCCTCCCCAGTCCTCAAATTAACATTTCACGAATAGGTTTTGTTAGTCTGGCTCAGTTCTAGACATCCACAAAAGTAGGGGTACCTGGGAATGAGCCATACTTTGAGGTGAAGGGCCCAGTCCTCCAGACTGACAAGTCTGCCCAAGATTTCTGACCCTGCAAGTTCAGGAGTTGTCCCAAACTACCCTCAAGCTAAATAATCCACTAGAAAGAGTCACTAAAAGGACTCACTAAAAGCTATTATACTCATAGCCATGTTTATGACAGGGAAAGGATACAAATGAGGACCAGACAAAGAAAGAGACACATAGGGTGGAGTCTAAGATGGTTCTTAACACCAATCCTCCATCATCTTCAGGATGCACTGCCCCACTGGGCATTGATATGTGACAATACGCACAGAGTATTGCTCACCCGTGAAGCTCACAGAAGCTTTGAATCCATAGTGTTTATTGAGGTCTCATGACGTAGGTTGAACTCAGTCTCCAGGTCTACTGATACTTCCTTACCAAAAGCCTCCACCCTCGAATCATACAGTCGGCCTTTCTGGCATCACCAACGTCCTACCCCCTCTCTCAAAGACTATCAGGTGTGGCCAGCTTCACCCTGAGTCATCTTATTAAATCAACTCTTAGGTGTGGTCTCAGTGGCCCACCATGAAAAACAAATACTTACATTTTATATATATTTTTAAAGCTTGCGAAATTCCAAGGGTTTCAAGGTTATCTCCCCATAAACCAAGGGCACAGGCCAGACCTCTATTTAGATGTAGCCAGATTCATTACTTCTCAAGGGGTTAATAAAAGTGAAAAATCCACAAGAGCCACCATCATGGTCACCTGCTCTGTGGAGTAAGTCCCAACCCCTTGGATCACTGCTTGTACTTTGTAAAGGATCAAGTTTTTTCTAAATAGGGGAGTGATACAGAACAGTTGCCCTTACCCAATAAATATTTACTTAAAACAATATTAAAATCGTTTTGAAGTTCCATATCTCCTGTTTTCTGGCACATTAGATTTTGTGGTAGCTAGTATTTCATGGTGTTTTTAATCTAATAAGTCCTCTGTTTAATATTCTCAGTAGAATTCACATTTTTCTTTAGAAATTTTCTACATTTGAGGATAGTATTTGCAACCACAAGGTGAGTCACTGGAAGGTCTGTTCGTTGACCAGATATGGCTGTTCTAAATCCAACACAGGTGTTTTCTAAACAAAAATTTTCATGAATAACATGTTTTTTTTCTAAACCATTCCATATAACTAAGAAACAGAAGGAACTGCTGTAAGTTTTGGAACTGTAACATTTTATTTGGTTTTGTCTTAACAGTGCTTTCCACATCTTAAGAGTAGCCTGAGTTTTAAAACATTTCTACCCGTTAAGGACAATGGTAGGAAACTCCTTTTTAAGTAGAAACACTAGTCCAAATGTTTTGTTTGTAACACAGCACTCGTTGTCTTGAAAGTGTTTTCTCTGTTAAAAGGAGCTTGTAATATGCATCCACGCGTAACCATCTGCATCTTCACAACACATCAATTGCTTGTATATTCACAGGTGGTGATTGACTGATTCGTGCATGTCCATGCAATTTGGCGCATTCAGCTGCGTGCTTGCGGATGTGGATGTATTTCACAGAAGCAGGTTGGGCAATAAATTTTGAAACTTTATCCTCATCTTTGGATAGAATAATAAAAGTCTGTAGGCTTAAGAAAGCAATATTCCCTGGAACTGCAATATATGGGAATGATGAAACTGTACTAAAATATACAGTAATCTCTAAGGCCTACCCAAGCTAGAGAGGTGCAAAGTGAGAGCTATAAACCAAAATTTAACACCCGCCACACTAAAAGTCATTTTCGGCCTCTGACCAACTTCACACGGAATTGGGAAATATGACTAATATCAAGGCCTGATTCCCTGGGGGGTTGGGGGTGGGGGGGTTAAAAAGGAATATGTCGGGGAGAAAAGCAATGGCCCATTGTTAGTTGAACCAATGACAGGTCAGCACAGGCTTAACACAATGTTCCATGTCTCTCCAGCAGCAGCCTGCCTTCCCTTCCCTGGATTCCATCTGCTGTGCGAAACAAGATCTGCAGTCATTCCCAGGTACGTGGGACTTCTCTAGGCTAGAAGGTCTGTACAGCACAGACCAAGGAACTTCCTTCCTATGAGGTTTAGTTTAGAATACAGGAGAGTCAACTCTTTCCCATGTTGTGACGTTTACCATGTGCAATTTACTGTCGGACAAGTTAACCAGACCTGCATAAAGAATATCCAAAAAATCTGATCAACATAGTCAGCTAATCTATAGCACTCAGATCCATAGTTCTTCCAACCTGTATAGCCAAAGACTGGAAATTTTTATCCCATTTTGTTCTTTTTCTGATTTTATTGGATAATAATATTGAATTCTAGGACTTGGGTCGCTTTCCTTGTTTTCTGGTTAATTTTTTTTTACAATTTTCTTTTTATTAATATTATCCAGATATGGAACTATATATTGCAAACCTGTTTTGTGACTAGCCTGACCATCTCTTTCTGTGTCGCACCATTGATTAGACCCACTTTTGATGATGGTAGACACAGCCACACATGACTATCAGCTCTGGTTAATGTCCCTGGCTTATTTCAGGATCATTGCCATGACAGAAACATGTCAGTAATAGGTGGTTTCCACTGAACAATGACTTGTAGACTGTGGCCATGCAAGCAGAGCAAAGAGAAAAGATCAGCAATTATCCAGTGGATGTGATCCATGCTGACAGGCAATCTGGATAATTCAAATAGAAACAACTTCTTTTGCCTCACTGGCAGGTTTGGGGCTGATTTAGTGAGATCATTGTTTAACTTTCTTTGCCTGTGGAAATGTAGTACGTGTGTTTGCTGGTTAAGTGAGGGTTTGGGGGTTATAACCACAGCATCTGTTCATTTGACATTCAAGTTTCACTCTGGTTTGGAAGCCCTTGTGCCTACAATTTAAAAGCAGCAATACACACCTAACTCCCAGCTGTCTGGGAACTCAGACTGCATATGCTTCTTGGTTTTCTAATCTGCCCAGAGAAATAAAACCATCACCTGAGCCAAAGAATAGTTTGCCTAATTGGATTTAAAACAAAAAAAAATGTAGAGACACACACAGTGTGTTCTAATGTCGCAGTTGTCTGAGCGACATTGCTAGCTGAGCCAGACCACTTACCTAGACTTGAAGATTTACATTTTGATGATGTTTTTCAAGTGCTATTTTATCCAGAGGAAGAAAAAGCAGTAATTTAAGCAGCTGCAGAATTCCTCACACATCTGCAGGAAGTCCCTCCTTCTGCCTTGGGCAGCACAGCATAATGGATAGACCACAAACTTTAGAGTCGATTTGACCTGGTTCAAATCCCAGCTCCAAAACTCATTAGCAATATTATCTTGAGCAAGATACTTCATCTTTTCCAGCATCACTTGCCTTATTTATAAAATGTGGATGACAACCATTTTGATAACTTCAAGGCTGACTTGAGGATTAAAGTTTATGTATTCAATGCACATCTGTTGATTGCCTACCATGGATCAGGCACTGTTCTGGGCACTGGAGAAATGGCAGTGAACCGAGCAGACAGAAACACTGCCTTTGGGGAGTTGATAATTTATCAGGGGAGATAAACAAAGACAAGATTATTAAGGAGAATAAATAGCAGGTGAGATGGTGGTAAGAGCCAGAGAAGAAACATAAAACGTGGGAAGGGGGCAGGGAATGATGGTGCAGAGAGAGATGGAACTGTGATGGGGAGTTATAGAAGGCTTCACTGAGAAGTTGATCAATAAAGAGGTGAGAGAGTAGGCTGTGGGGATATTTGGGAGAAGAGTGACTTGGGTTGAACTGTGTCTCCTCAAAGAGATAGATGAAAGTTCCAAAGACCAGTAATTCTGAGTGTAACCTTCTTGGGAAACAAGGTCTTTACAGAGGTCATTGAGTTTAACATGGTCATTAGGGTGGGCCCTAATGGAATATGCTGGTGACCTTATAAAAAGTAGAAATTTAGACACAGAAACAGGTACAGAGGGAAGATGATGTGAAGACACAAAGAATGCCTGCAGTGTGCCTGGAGTGATGTTACTACAAGCCAGGGAACACCAAGGATTGCTGGCAAACACCAGGAGCCAGGAGAGGCGAGGAAGAATCCTTGCCTAGAGCCTACAGAGGACGGATGCCCCTGCTGATGTCTTGACTTCAGACTTCTGGCCTCTAGAATCATGAAGCAATAAATTTCTGTGATCTTACGCATCTGCTTTTGGTACTTTGTTGTGGCAACTCTAACAAACTAATACAAAGAATGTTTGGCTGAGGGAAAAGCAAGTAGGAAGGCCCTGAGCCAGGTGTGTACCAGAACATTCGAGAATCAGCAGAGACCAGTGTGTTTGGAGAGGAGCAAGCAGGGGGAGCAAGTAATGAGAGATGAGGTGAGGGAGGCAAGCCGTTGCAGACTCCGCATGGCCTTTGAGGCCACCTTCAGGTCTGTGCCTTTACTCTGCATGATGAGAAAAGCCATTGGCAGTCAGGAGGAAAATGCTCTGACTTACATTATAAAATTATGTATGTAAAGTGCCTCCTGATTGGCAATTATTATTTTTTCTCCTTCAACCTACTTCACGTCTGATAAATATGGGTTTGGGGGTGAAGAAGGCAATGTTTTTAGTATTTATTATTTCTGCAGCTGTTCCTGTGCTATGTGCTGTTGAGAACTTGTACTCACACTGATTGCCATCCTTAGACGTCTCCAGTGACAGATAACTGCACTATACCCGCACCACATAAATGTCATTTATCCAGGTCTAATGCAAAAAAGGATGATTCATTTAGACGTATATGTTTATTCAGTTTTAATTCTGCCTTGCATACGCATTTTTTTTTGCTTTTCTTTAGAAAGATAATGAAACTCTATTGGTTTCCACAGGGCTGGTTGATCATTTCCGGATAAATAAGTAAGTTTTGGAAAATAAGATAAAAATGTAATCTTTGATTGGAGTGTCCTTGGTTGCTAGAGATGCCTGGGTTATTGTTGAGTGAGTGATATAAAGGAGAAGTGCTAGCAGAAAGGAGATGCAGCTCTTAAGACAGAAAATGGCATAGAAGTGTTAACTGCAGTGGGTTGGGCAAGATAATGAATGCTAGGACATTACTTCATTCATTTGACTTGTATTTATTGAGCATGCACTAAATGGCAGACACTAGGTTAAACACCAGATACTAAAAAGTTAACACATCTGGTCTTATCCACAAATAATTCCCAATATGTATGAACAAAAAGGAAAAAACACAGAAGAGGGAGATCCTTCACTCTCCTCTGGTGTTGGAGAAACCATGAGGCAGGAGGAGCATGGTACCTGGAGAATGTATTATGGGCAGCCCAGGTAGTAAGTTGTTCAGGCCAGCAGCCAGAATGAGGGGCTCCAGAAAGATGGAAGTTGAAATACAGTATGTGACTGGAAAACACAACATGGCAGAGAAGATTCTAGGAAGTGCTGGGTGATCCAGAGAAACCAGAGGGACATCTGGAAAATGTCTTAACAATAGCTGGGCCCCAAGTCACTGATATTCAGGGGAATAACTCCACTCCATGGAGATGGTGTGGAGGGAGGTGATGAAGGCGCATGATCGGTAAGAGAACAGTAAGAACAAACTGGTCATATTCTAAGTGTGATGTATATTCTGCTGGTTACTAGACCAGGATATTGACACAGGGAAACAGGGTGGAGAGTCAGTTTAGAAACCTGAACATAGATGGGTTCAGGTTTTGGAAACAAAGCAAGTCCCCATTTATAATGTGTGAAGAAGGTCAGCCAAACTCAGAGTGAGAGATTGGAGGCTAAGCCTGGATTTATCTCACAGCCTGGGGTAGGGGTGTCTGCCCCTGAGACCCTGTTGGTTAGCTGTGGGGAGAAGGAGACTTCAGGCAATCTTATAGGACAACCAGGAATTGCAGGACTGCAGGTTAAAACACATGATCCACATAAAGTCGAAAAGAAAGCCCTGCCTATAAAATCACGGGTCTCGACCACTGCCCTGCTCCATTATTTCTGCCACCAAAGGCCATCTAAGTTGGCAGAAAATTGGCTGCTTTATGCAAAGTGCATTTCTATCCTCCTGGTGAAACCAGAGAGAAAAGGCATTACAAAGTCTGGGATAGGTGATGAGCCCTTAGCTCCAACTTAATCCTGCAGTTTCATTTTTACAGGGGAGGATCTGAGATCCAGAGGTGTTATTTGGTTTAACAAAATTTCAAAAGAGAGACAGAAAAAAAAAAGACAGCTGCACTTCTTTCTGGTTTGTGTCTTGATTTAGATTTTTCTCTTTTTCTCAAATGGCTGGAGAGGAGAAAGAGAGTCTTTCAGATGTAATCACTATAATTTGAACAACTTCTTGGTTTTCTTTTGGTCTAAAAAGCAATTCTAGAAAGTAGAGTCACATGTTTGTGGGCTGATAGTAACAAATGAAAAACATCTCCAGAGGCCGGGCACGGTGGCTCATGCCTGTAATCCCAGCACTTTGGGGGGCTAAGGCAGGAGGATCATGAGGTCAGGAGATCGAGACCATCCTGGCTAATGCGGTGAAACCCCGCCTCTACTAAAAATACAAAAAATTAGCTGGGCGTGGTGGCGGGCTCCTGTAGACCCAAATACCTGTGAGGCTGAGGCAGGAGAATGGCGTGAACCTGGGAGGCGGAGCTTGCAGTGAGTGGAGATGGCGCCACTGCACTCCAGCCTGGGCGACCAAGCGAGACTCTGTCTCAAAAAAAAAAAAAAAAAAAAAAACTCCAGAGACTGAATGAGAAATTTCTCTCTCTCTCTCTCTCTCTCTCTCTCTCTCTCTCTCTCAGAGGCCACCAGAAATACCTGTACTATTACTTTTATAAATATCCCAACCTGCACAACCTTAGGCAAGTCACTGAAGTCACCTAGGAATCATTTGTAGAAATGAATGGCTTGAAAAAAACTAATCTCTAAAACCTTTTTTGATGCTCAGTTTCTAAAGTTCTGTCCTACAATGTTGCCATAAAAGTAAAATCAATAGTTACATTTTCACATTGACTGCAACATTTCTGGAAAACCATGCTTTTGGGGGTTTAAAGACGAATGTCACTGATAATTGGAAAACTTTCTCATTTTCGTGAATGATCTTCTCCATTTGCTCCTTATTGCTCATAAATTGAAAAAGTTGCCTTGAACTTCAGTTTTATAAAATGTGAGCATTAGCAAAAAAAATGCAGATATTAAGGATGAACACCATTAGTGCTCCTTTTGCCTTTTCTAGTTTCATTGTGTGAGTGTTTACAGTCTGCTGGTGAGGCGAATCCATCTCACTCTGACCCTGACCTTTGCGTAATATTTATTGGATTAGAAAAAAATAATTCACAGAGTAATAAAGATATCTGTGCATGCATTTATTATACACAAAACTGTGCTTCATTTTGGAAAATCTGTCCCAAACCTAGTCAGGCGAATCAGCCATAACAAGGTCACTGCAGACTTAGCAGAATGCCCTACAGATGTTTTTTTTGTTTTAGCTCGGATTGCAGCCATGGGATGAGGAAAAGGAGAAGCAGGGAGGGTTGTCCAGAAGGAGAGACACTCTACCAGCACTGTGTGGATCAAATAAAAATATTCAAGGTGACCTTGGGACAAGCGGTCTGTTACATCAAGGTTTAACAGAGATCCACCTTGATTCCCAGAGGCAGGGCTCCTACTCACTCTCCTTCTTCCCTTTTGCCTTTCTGTCTCCTTGGTTGCTTGCTCCTTTGTCTCTCACGCCTCAAAAATAATCCACAGATTCAAACCTTCTTTGCAGTTCCTGGAGATATCATTCCAGGCCAGGATCTCTCCCCCTCATACCTTGATGCCTGCAACCATCTCTGAGTGCCTCTCCTTGCTCTACCTTGCTCACAAATCTTTCCCACATAAAGCTTACAATAATATTTATCTTACGTACTGCGTTCATTTGGCTGCTTCTTATATTATGAATCTCAGAGATTTGCTGTTACTTATTGGTTCAGATCAATAGTTTTCATTCTACCGCTTTCAGTCTTCTATCCATTAGCCTTCTACCTTTCTAACTAATTTATTTCAGGGAGTTCTGCAATCTGGTTTCTTCCCTTCGGTAAGATTCATCTCTCACCATGCCCCAAATAGAGCCGTCCCTCCTTATCCTCAGGAAATACGTTCCAAGACCCCCAGTTGATGCTTGAAACCGAGGATGTTATGGCACCCTATATATGTATGCTGTTTGTTTCTTGATCTCATGACCTAGAGGGCTACTTAGTGACTAAATGGGCAAGTAGTATATACAGCATGAATATGCTGAACCAAGGAATGATTTGCATGGGACAGAGCAGGAAGGCATGAGATTTCATCACAGTGTGCAATTTAAAATTTATAAATTGTTTATTTCTGGAATTTTCCAGTTAATATTTTCAGACAGTGCAACTGCGGGCAACTGGAACTGCAGAAAATGAAACTTTACGTAAGGGAGACTGCTGTATGTGATTTCTCCCAACCCCCACCATTTCCTAGCTATGTGCACTTATACGTGTTTTCTTTTTCTTTGAATAACATCCCACTTTCCATCTTCAATCCATGTAAGTCAATTTCTTTAAATTAAGCTGAAGAATAATTTTCTCTATGAATTATTTTATGTTTACCTTAATCAATAATTTTTTATTTGTTTAATTAATTTATTTTTTAATGTTTGGAAGAATTCACTTGTTAAGACATCTAGACCTGGATATTTCTTAAACAGGGAGGTTCTAATTACAGATGCAATTTCTCATATAAATACAGAATGTTTCAGATTTTTTATGTCTTTTTGTGTTGCCTTTCCTGTTATTTTTCCACAAATCTGTTCATCTTATTTACACTATATTTACGTCAAGTAATTGTTCCTAATATCATCTATTGGATCAGTAGTGATATCCCTTCTCTTTCTTGTTATTCTTGTTATTAATAATGTGTACCTTGTAAAAATTTTAATCAATCCTTATTAGAAACAAATGTTATTGGTCTTCTCAAAAAAACTTTTGGTTTTGTTTATTTTCCTTATTATATGTTTGTTTTATTAGTCTTATGTTTATTATTTCCATCTATCTCCTTTCAATTTACTAAAGTTTTATCTAACTTCCTGAGAAATTACTCAAGTAATTTTTGAAGATTAATTTTTAGAATATTTTCTGTTCTAGTACATGCATTTAAAGCAACAAATTTCCCTTTAAGATGACTTTGGCTGCATATTATAAATTTTGATAACATTTGTTTTTATAAAAAATTTAATCTATTTTCTTTCTCTCTCTGTGTGTGTGTGTTTATGTATGTTTGTGCATGTGTGTTTCTTCTCTTTTTAAATCATTTCTTGGATTAATAAAAACTACATGTATTATTACATTGTATCCTTCTATTAGCCTGTTAGTAATATATTATTTCACTCTTCATTTAGGGATTACTCTTAAGTTTAAAACATGCATATTTGACTTATTAGAGTATGATATAAATTAATACCTTTACCATATCCCAAACAATTCTAGAAGCTGAGAACCTTCAGTTGAGCCTATTACTCCTTAATTTTATGCCATATTTGTTAGGCATTTTAATGCATATATATTTTAATCTCCTAAAGACATTATTATTGTTGTTTTACTCTTTCAGTATTTATTTGGATTTACCTTTTTATTTATTTTTTCTGATGCTCTTCCTAAAACCAACACAATAGTCCCATAGATAGTTTTTTTGGGTAAACATAGAAATTGACCCTTTTTGTCTTAAAGCTTGAAACTTACATTTGTTTTAACTGAGTTTCATCTTTAGGAATGGACCCCCAGGCCTCTCAAAAAGTATCAAAGAACTAAAACCCACAAGGTTATCTCATCTACACAATGAGAGGCCAAGCCCCTCCTTCATCATAATTGCTTCCTTAACCCTATGTAGTTCCTATTTTCCCATACATAGTTACATTTCTTCCCTGCTATATAAACCCCTGATTTTAGTCAGTCAGGGAGGTGGATTTCAGACTGATCTCCCATCTCCTCGGCTGCAGCATGCGATTGAAGCCTTCTTCCTTGGTAGTAATTGTTGTCTTGGTGATTGGCTCTCTGTGCAGTGGGCAGCAGGACCTAGACCAAACCCCTGGTGTTTTAGTAAAATTTATTTTAATAAACATTGTTATGCTTTGTGTTGGGATTCTTTTCCTTTGGTTGAATAAGTACTACTTTTTTTTAAGTAAATATAGAATACTTGGGATTCCCCAGTTTGCATCAAGATCCATTTTTAATGACTTTTCCAATGTGTCTGCACTCTACCTAAAGGTACCAGGATTTTACAATGGCAGAAGCGGTGCCCCATGCTTCTGCTCTCCCTACAAGTGAATCCTTCCCCGACCCCAGGTCGGCATCTCTCTCTTACTGATTTCCCATCTGCATACCAATTGTTTCTCATGTCAGCTACTTCCAGACACCAGACCCTCATGCCAGAACTCTTCACTTTACTGGACGTCCTGATATTAATAATAACAGCAATGATGATAATAGTAATAACAATAAACATTTGTCATGTATTTATTATGTATAATGCTCTGAGCCAATATTTCATAGATATATTATTTAATCCATACAGCAATATTCTTGTCTATGCATGTGAGAACCAAAATTCAGAAGGGTTAAATAACTCATCGAATGTCATACAGTTGCTAATAGGAGCTGCTTAAACTCGAGCCTAGTGTGTCTAGTTGAAAGCTGGGTACAATTAATGCTATTCTGTCTCTCTGTGTTCACTTCCTGCTGCGGCTGTGTCCACACACCCTAGGCCACGTTTCACTTGCGTGACTATTTACTCCCTAGTATGCCCCTAACTTGGGCCTTGAAGTATCATCCCACCTCAGAGCCTGTGTCCAGTCTGTAAGTCCAGTCTGTCCATGTTTTGCCTATGCCACTGCCTCCTCACGTCTAAGCTCATAATCTGCTAACAGTGAGCTCATCCCTCTAGGCCAAAGGTTCTTACCAGGAGTTATTTTGCTTCTCAGGACACCTTTGGCAGTGTCTAGGGGCACTTTAGTTTGTCACAACTGCGAAATGGGGAACTATTGCTTTCTAGTGGGTAGAGGACACAGGGGTGCTGTTAAATATCCTACAGTGCACAGGACAGCCACCACAACAAGGATTATCCAGCCCAGAATGTCAGTAGTGTTGAGGCTGTGAAACGATGATCTAGGCAACAAGTATTTATTGAGTATTTACCATGTGCCACCCACTGTGCTAGGTATGGGGAATAAAAAGTAGACATCGTCCGGGCTTGGTGGCTCATGCCTGTGATCCCAGCACTTTGGGAGGTCGAGACAGGCAGATCATGAGGTCAAGAGATCGAGACCATCCTGGCCAACATGGTGAAACCCCATCTCTACTAAAAATACAAACATTAGCTAGGTGTGGTGGCACGCGCTTGTAGTCCCAGCTACTCGGGAGGCTGAGGCAGGAGAATCGCTTGAACCCAGGAGACAGAGGTTGCAGTGAGCCGAGATCACACCACTGCACTCCAGCCTGGCGATAGAGTGAGACTTCATCTCAAAAAAAAAAAAAAAAATGTAAACATAATGCCTGCTAATGGGGAATAGAGATGAGTAAACAGGTAATTACCAAGCAGTCGGGAAGGAGCTTTTTCACCATTGAGGCTACTCAGGGGACCACAGTAGTACCAAGAAATGGGACTGACTCAGACTTAAAGAATCAAGAAAGGCTTCCCTGAGTAAATGACTTGTGAGCAGAGATCTACAGGGTGACTGGTAAAATGTGAGTGATGAATGTGGTGAGGAGAAGATGAATACAGGAAGGGAAGAATTAGAGACAAACACACCCGAAAGGTTCCTGAAATGGAAGAGAATGTGGTATGTTTTAAGAATTGAAGGCATTTCATTATAACAAGAACAAAAATGTGGTGGGGGCAGGGGGAGTTGTAGCAAGATTCCTGGATAACAAGCTGGTACCATATCACAATGGGCCTGATAAACCCTCGTAAGGATGATGGACTGTTTCCTAAAGGCAATGTTAAAACATCGCCAGCTTTTAAGCAAGAGGGTGGTGTAATCATAGTTACAATTTCAAAGGCCATTGTGTCTTCAGTGTGGAGGACGTATTGGAGAAGAGAGACAGGCAGGGCAGGAAGAACTATGTTAGACATCCTATTAACTCTTGCCTCCTCGGAGATATTGCTCCACCGATATCTAGTATTTAGGAGGCACTTACATTCATCCAGGCAAGAGATGGCAGTTGGTTAGACTGAGATTGAAAGTGTAGGTGGGTTCAGATAATGTCAAAGGGGAGAGCTGGCCAGCCTCGATGATTACCTGGGTATGGGAAGAGGTGGAGAAGGCGAGAGAGGAATCCAAGACTAGGGCCAGGATCACAACTTCTTTGTTCACCACTTATTTCTTGCATATAGAACAGTGCCTAGCAGGTGGGAGGCACTCCATAAGTATTTGTTGGTGTTATCATCTGCAAATTATGTTATTGGAGAAACTAGGTACAAGCAGCACCCCTGAGAAAGCAATACACAGGACTAGGAACAGATTGGGAGATAGGAAGGGGGAGGAGGATTTGGGGCATGCATACATTGACTTTAAAGTGTCCGTGGAGACACTTTGGATACTAGAGACTAGAGCTCAAGAGAAAATGATCTAAGTTGCAAATAAAGATCAGAGAGTCATCAGCAAAGATGAAACCCTGTAAGTAGATGAATAACTCAGGAAGAGAGTTGCACGAGTAGAGGAAAGCCCAGAGAAGACAACTGAGGAACAACCAGATATAAGGAGTAGGAAAAGGAAGACAGATCTCAAAGCCATGAAAAAAGAGTGCCTAGAAAGGTGCTGTGCAGCTTACTGGGGTATAAGAGTGAGTAGGGTGAAGAAAGAAAATGCAGCATATTTCAATACTAAATTTGCAGGCAAGATGGAAAGGAAATATTACGGGGGTGTCTGAAGGATGGGGGGCTAAAGAAAGACTCATTTTAAGACATTAAAATCTTGAGTATCTGTTAATGGAAATGGATAAGAGCCACAGAACACTAGATACTAGATATTGGTGGAGCAACATCTCTGAGGAGGTGAGTCAATAGGATGCCCAACATAGCAGGAGGTAAGAACGCTGAGCAGGCGAAGAGGCACCTCATTATTTGCAACCAACCAAAAGACAGGCAGAGAAAACAGGCAGAAACTCACATAGATAGGTCTGCTGGCAGGAAGCTGAGCGGCTTCTGGTGTTTTGTGCATTACACAATTGCTTATGTAATTCCTGTGATATTGTAAAGGGAGAACAAAAGTATTCCACATTGAACTCCTGGTCCACTTTCAGGAACCGCACTAGTTTCTGAGAGCATCACCTCCATTTCATAAAGATCAATAACACAGTGAATCAGCAACAATGATCATTGAAATCTAGAAGACTTACAGATTTCTTTTTCCTTTAGTTATTTTTCACATCCCTGAATAGAAAGGTTACAAGCAGAGGCTGCGAAAGCTGAACAGCTGGATAAAGACTGCATGATAAGGAGCAGTGGTTCTCAAAGTGTGGTCCCTGAACCAGCAGCATCAGCATTACCTGGGGACTTGCCAGGCATACAAATGTTTGTGTCCCATCCAAGACTTGCTGACTCAGAAACTCTGGAGGTGGAGCTTTGTATTAATCTCTCAGGTTTTCTGTAGCTAATTGCCACGAACGCAGTGGCTTAAAACAACAGAAATGTATTGTCTCAGTTCTAGAGGCTGGAAGTCTGAGATCAAGGTGTCAGCAGGCCATGTTTCCTCTGAAAACATCAGGGGGCATCCTTGCTTGCCTCGTCCAGCTTCTGGTGGTTCCAGATGTTGCTTGGTTTATGACAGCATAATGTCAATATCTGCCTCCATCTCCACCTGGCCTTCTCCTCCATGTCTCTTCGTCTCAAGTCTCCCTTGGCTTTTCTTTTACAAAGATACTTGTCACTGGAGTAAGGGCTCATCCTAAATTCACTATGGTTTTATCTCAAGATCCTTAATTATATCTACAAAGACTCTTTTTCCAATAAGGTCAAATTTACAAGTTCTAGGGGTTAGGACTTGCACATATATTTTTAGGGGCCATTATTCCACCCACTACGATTGTAGTACTCTGGGTATTTTCTGTTTTGTTTTCTGAGGTGACATTTTGCTATGTTGCCGAGGCTGGAGTGCAGTGGTTCTCAACCCTGGCTGCACAGTGGAATCACCTGGAGGGATCTTTTTAAATTCCTAAAAAGTTAAACACAAATTTTTTAGCATGGAACCCAAAATTCCCCAAGTGATCCCAATGTCAGTCAAGTTTGAGAACCACTGGTATAAAGGAAAGAATATTAGCGGAGGAGTTAGACAAGCCTCAGTTCCAAAGCTGCCTCTTTGTCTTATCAGCAGAGCCTGCTCTTCTGTAAAATAGAGATAAGCATACCTACCTCATATGATTATGTTACTTTTTGTGAAGATTAAACAAAATCCTCCATGTTAAGCACTGGGATTTTTAGCCATGTTATATGCTGTATGTCTTCAGGGCTTCATTCACCCATTAGCCTGGTGATTGAAGCATTCAAAATGACTTTCTGCTGAGAATCTTGGTTCTGCCTGTGGCATTCTCTCAGCTCACCTGATGACAGGTGGAATGGCTTCCTTTTAGGTATTCTCCTTGCAGGCCCCTCAGCTTTCAGAAAGGAAGTTATTCCTGCATGCCCCAGCTCAATGTCCTCTTATGTCATAAGAATTTCTATTTAATTGGCCACACAGAATATCTGGGTTTTAGTTATTTTCCAGGAAGAATCATTTTGAACTCATACTCACTCACTATTTATTAAACATTCTGTCGAGCAAAATACTTTCCGGGAAGATGGCTTAAAATATTGAAGACATTCTAACTTCCAGACAATTTAAGCTTTTTCATTCAAAAAAGGAAAAGAAAAAAATAAGAAAATAGTATTGCTTATCTAGCATCTAAATATCAGGGACTAGAGATATTGTGATAGTTTCAGTTGTCATGTAGCTTGGAGTCTAGTCAGGAAGACAAAAAAAAAAAAATCAAGTCATACCACAAACACATGAGAAATCGCAACCTTGGCAAATGCTGTGAAGGAAGCTTACATGATGCTATGAACCTCTAACAAGTTCAGACAGAGTCAGGGAGGTTAAGGTGGCTCTCCCACAGATGAGGGTTAAGCTGAGATGTCAAGAATGACTAGGAATTAACCATGGGGAGGTAGAGGGGGAGCATTGCAGACAAAAGGAATTGCAAGCTCAAAAAAGCTCTGTGGCAAGAGTGTATTCTTTTTGCTCCAATGTTCTTTGCTTCTTGCCTTTCCTTCCTTTTCCTTGTTACTTCATGGTCTCAAAATGGCTACCACAGCTCCAGACATGGAGTCCACATTCAAGTAGAAAAAAGGGAAAGGAGAGCAACACTAGCTCTATCTGTCCCTTTTATCAGAAGTCAAAATCTTTTCTAGAAGTCCCCCAGCAGGCTTCCCTTTTATATCACTGGCCAGAAAGAGGGCAAATGCTCATACTTAAGTCAATCCTTGGCAAAGAAGAATAGATCAACATGATTCGTCTAAATCAGGAGATCTCTTCCTTTTATTCCAAGGTGAAATATGACTTTTCTAAGCAAAGATGCTGTTGCTGCAGGGATGCTATTGTAGGCTCTTAAAAGTGTCTACCACTGTGGCTATGGCAGTAGTCCAAACACAAGATGGGGTGATATTTAGGAAGTTACAACAGCAGAGCTCATGATTCATTTACCACGAGGATAAGAAAGCAGAATCATCCTATGCAGCAAGTCACCACATGAGCTCAGGTAAGGAGTATGGCTCTGCCAAAAGCAGAGTTTCTGAACTTAGGCTTAGTGATATTTTGGACTGTATAATTCTTTGCTGTGAGTGGCTATCAAGTGCACTGTAGGATGTTCAACAGTCTCCCTGACCGCTACCCACTCAATGCCAGTAGCATCTGCCCAGCAGTGACCAAGTCTCCAGTCTTTGCCAAATGTTCCCTGGAAGAAAAGTCATCCCCTATTGTAAACCACAGCCTTAGAGAATTCCTCCTACTGAATATGACTATGAGTAATATAATGACAGGGCAGGGCTAGTGGGAGGCAAGGGAGGTACCCAGGGCACAGAATTTCAGTAGGCACTTGCACAACCCTGACAGTGGATGTCTCCTTAAATTTTGTGCCTTCAGAGCCTCACTGGGCTCTCCCAATATCTGACGGTGTAGTAGTAGCCCATATTTCAACAAAAATAAACATTCTACTTGTTGTTTCTTGTTCAAGGATGTGTTAAAGACATTGCCCTTTATGAAACACAGAGTTCTGTTTATGAGAAAACCCAGGAGAGCTCCTGCCCATTTTTTGTCCAGAGAAGAGACATGTTTTTCCTAAGCCACTAATTTGCTTTTATCTGATGAATGTTGTAAATGGTGTAATCTTTTGTTTTCCTTTTTGCATTGATTGTTATTAAGTTGTTTCCCCCTTTTTTGTGACATTGGCTCCTATAGAACTTGAAAACCAAATTTGTGGCTTACTTCAAGTTTGTAGAATATTCATTCTAGCCTTATTCCTGACTATATTTTAAGTTCCTGCCTTTGTTTTTCATTTCCATTTTGACTCAGTTTTTATTGGTGTTATTTTACATTTGATGTATTCTTATAAAATACCTTAAATATGTTTGAAACTAATATCATCAAGTACCCAGCATGGGGCCTGGCACGCAGAAGACATTTGATACATAGAAGTTTCCTTTCTTCATGTTGAGATAGAAAAGTGAGGCACTGCGTGGGACAGCTGTTTGTAATGGCCAAGTGCTCTAGAAGTGTAAGAGTAAAGGCTTCCAATAAAATCCAACACTGTTTTATTTTTTAAAAGTCTAGTAAACTAGGTATTGAAGGAACATACCTAAAAATAATAACAGCCATGTATGACAAACCCACAGCCAACATCATACTGAATGAGCAAAATCTGGAAGCATTTCACTTGAAAACCAGCACAAGGCAAGGATGCCCTCTCTCACCACTCCTATTCAACATAGTATTGGAAGTCCTGACCAGAGCAATCAGGCAAGAGAAAGAAATAAAGGGACTGGGTGTGGTGGCTTATGCCTGTAATCCCAGTACTTTGGGAGACCGAGGCGGGCAGATAACGTGAGGTCATGAGTTCGAGACTAGCCTGGCCAACATGGTGAAAGCCTGTCTTTACTAAAAATATAAAAAATTAGCCAGATGTGGTGGCATGCACCTGTAATCCCAGCTACTTGGGAGGCTGAGGCAGGAGAATCGCTTGAACCCAGGAGGCGGAGGTTGCAGTGAGCTGAGATCATGCCACTGCACTCGAGCCTGAGAGACAGAGTGAGATTCCATCTCAAAAAAAAAAAAAAAAAAGAAAAAGAAAAAGAAATAAAGGGCATCCAAATAGGAAGAGAGAAACTCAAACTATCCCTGTTTGTAGATGACATGATTCTATATCTAGAAAACCCCATAGCCTCGGCTCAAAAGCTCCTTCAGCTGATAAACAACTTCAGCAAATTTCAGCATACAAAATTAATGTACAAAAATCACTAGCATTCCTATACACCAACAGCCAAGCCAAGATCCGAATCAGGAAGGCAATCCCATTCACAATTTCTACAAAAATAATAAAGTACCTAGAAATATAGCTAACCATTGAAATCCTTACAATGAGAATTACAAAACACTGCTTAAAGAAATCAGAGAAGACACAAACAAATGGAAAAACATCTGATGCTCATGAATAGGAAGAATCAATGTCATTGTAATGGCCATACTGCCCAAAGCAATTTACAGATTCAATGCTATTTCTATCAAACTACCAAAGACATTCTTCACAGAAATAGAGAAAAATGATTTTAAATTCCTATGGAACCAAAAAAAAGCCTGCATAGCCAAGGCAATCCTAAGCAAAAAGAATAAAGCTGGAAGCATCACATTACTTTACTTCAAACTATACTACAGGGCTACAGTAACCAAAACAGCATGGTACTGGTACAAAAACAGACACATAGACCAATGGAACAGTACAGAGAACCCAGAAATGAGGCCACACACCTACAACTATCTGATCTTTGACAAAGGTGACCAAAAAAAGCAATGGAGAAAGGACCCCCTATTCAATAAATGGTGCTGGGGATAACTGGCTAGCCATATACAGAAGATTGAAGCTGGACCCCTTCCTTACACCATATATGAAAGTCAACTCAAGATGGATTAAAGACTTAAATGGAAAACCCAAAACTATAAAAACTGTGGAAGACAACCTAGGCAATATCATCTTGGACATAGGAACTGGCAAAGAATTCATGACACAGACACCAAAAGCAATTGCAACAAAAGCAAATATTGACAAATGGGATCTAATTAAACTTAAGAGCTTCTGCACCACACACACGCAAAAAACTATCAACAGAGGAAACAGACAACCTACAGAATGGGGAAAATTATTGCAATCTCTTCATCTGACAAAGGTCTAATATCCAGAGTCTACAAAGAACTTAAACAAATTTACAAGAGAAAAACAAAGAAACCCACTAAAAAGTGGGCAAAGGACATGAACAAACATTTTTCAAAAGAAGACATACATACAGCCAACAAACCTATGAAAAAAAGCTCAATATCACTGATCATTAGAGAAATGCAAATCAAAACCACAATGAGTTACAACCTCACACCAGTCAGAATGGCTATTATTAAAAAGTCAAAAATAACAGATGCTGGCAAGATTGTGGAGAAAAGGGACCACTTATACACTGTTGGTGGGAGTATAAGTTAGTTCATCCATTGTGGAAAGCAGTGTGTCAAGTCCTCAAAGAGCTGAAAGCAGAGCTACCATTCAACTCACCAATCCAATTACTGGGTATATACCCAGAGGAATAGAAATCCATTCTACCATAAAGATACATGCACAAGAATGTTCATCACAGCACCATTCACAATAGCAAAGACATAGAATCAACCTAAATGCCCATCAATGACCAATCGGGTAAAGAAAATGAGGTACATATACACCATGGAATACCATGCAGCCATATAAAGGAATGAGATCCTGGCCGGGTGTGGTGGCTCACGCCTGTAATCCCAGCACTTTGGGAGGCGGAGGTGGGTGGATCCTAAGGTCAGGAGATCGAGACCATCCTGGCTAATGAGGTGAAACCCTGTCTCTACTAAAAATACAAAAAATTAGCCAGGTGTGGTGGTGGGCACCTGTAGTCCCAGCTACTTGGGAGGCTGAGGCAGGAGAATGGCCTGAACCCAGGAGACAGAGCTTGCAGTGAGCCGAGATCGCACCACTGCACTCCAGCCTGGGCGACAGAGCAAGGCTCCATCCCCACCACCCCCCCCAAAAAAAAAGAGGAATGAGATCCTGTCTTTTAGGTAACATGGGTGGAGCTGGAGGCTATTATCGTTAGCAAAGTAATGCAGGAATAGAAACCCAAATACCACATGTTCTTACTTACAAGTGGGGGTGAAATGATGAAAACTCATGAACACAAAGAAGGGAACTACCGACACTGGGGTCTACTTGAGGGCGGTGGGTGGGAGGAGGGAGAGGAGCAGAATGATAACCACTGGGTACTGGGTTCACCACCTGGGTGATGAAATAATATGTACAACAAACCCCCGTGACACATGTTTACCTCTGTAACAAACCTTCACATGTACCCCCAAACCTAAAATAAATGTGTTTAAAAAAAAAACCAAAAACAGTAACATTTGGGATGAGAGTGGTTTCTGAGAGTAGTTGCTACAAGCAACTTGCAGCAAAGATTTTAAAAGTGCATCCACTTCTCCAGGAAAATAACATCTAGTGGTAGATTTTTGACCTGTGTCTTTGTTGATCTAAGTTCTCAGGGGGTTAGAGAACTTTCATAAAGCCTACCGCCTACACCCAGCCCTGAAAGCACTTATTAGCCTGTGTTCAAGTGCCTTAAGTGTCATCCTCCTTCACAAGGGGCACATGTTATGACTGTGGGTTGTGTTCCATTTTCCAAAGATAACATTCAAGCAGAATGACAAAGAAGGATAAGTTAAGAAGCACTTCGAAATCTGAAAGCTGTGGTTACATTAAGTGAGAGAACAATGAGCCTTGATCAGTAACGACAGAGCGAGGTGGGGGTGGGGGATACTCTAAATAGCCTCTGCCTCTTGCAGTGAGACTATTGCATTTTCATCGTAATTATTACATCTTGGCAAGAGGCTCAGCAGCCTGTTACCCACCTCCCTGATGTCAGGCTGCTCTCCCACTCTGCAATTTTGAAACCTGGTTGGCAATCACACCCTGAAGAGCAGTTCTAACAACGCTGCAGCAAACTTTCCCCCACTTGAAATCTTCAATTATATATGTATAGACTAATGGCAATCAACATCCTACCATTTTCTCCCTCTGTCTTTTTTCTTATTGCCATATCATTAACTTCAACAAAATTAAGTTAGCGACATTTAGTCCTCAGAGAAGCCAGGGGAATAATAACAGATGGATTAGAGTAAAGGGGATAAGGCAGAGAGAGGACAGTTTGACTTCCTTTTAGAAAAGTTTGAGCTACATAAAGACATACACACGCACTCACACACACACAGACACATACACACACAGCATTAAACTGTGCAGAGAAAATTTCAGCCCACGGTGAGCTGAGCTACTAGAAACCCCTATGATATTAAATAGCCACTTATTCTTGGGGAAAATGTGTGGGGCAAGATGAAGTTATGTTTTGTACAGTGTGAAGCATTGAATTATTTTTCCCCTAACATTTGAAGGACTTCGCAGAAACATGGCATCTGGGCTTTGTTGGTGCCCAATGCCAACAAAGTCAGGCACCCTTCAAAGGGTTTATTTGGCTTTATTCATTCTGTTGTTAGAATTAGCCTCAAAAATCTGGTCTGATTGCACTGAATTAGGGAAAGTGACTTGAATAGTAGGTATTTAATATGTGTTTACTGAATTGAATTACAGTTTAGTGTGCCTATGTTTCAAAAGCAAAACAGATAAATAAGAGAGGATGTCATTTGAAAGTAGTTCTCCAAAATAAAGATCTTCTAAGATTTCACAAATCTATATTCCTAGATGGGTATCAAGAGACCAGAGTTTTATAGTATGGATATAGCTTTCTAGAGTTTATAAAGCAACTTTCTTTTACCTAACTTGTATAAATTTTACAACATTCCTGTGAGAAAAGTTTTGTTATCCAAGCAAGGTAGATATTACTGCTGCCCTTCTAGCTCATGGAAGACCTCCCTACAGCTGGATCAGGCTGGGAGATGAGTTCTGGACAATAGGCTGCTAAAAGAGGAGGCATGGGGCTGGGTGTGGTGGTTCACGTCTGTAATCCCAGCACTTTGGGAGGTCGAGGCAGGCCGATCACCTGAGGTCAGGAATTCAAGACCAACCTGGCCAACATGCTGAAACCCATCTCTATTAAAACTACAAAAATTAGCCAGGCCTGGTGGCAGGCGCCTGTAATCTCAGCTACTAGGGAGGCTGAGGTAGGAGAATCTCTTAAACCTGGGAGGCGGACATTGCAGTGAGCCAAGGTCATGCCACTGCACTCCAGCCTGGGCAACAGAGTGAGACCTTGTCTCAAAAAAAAAAAAAAAAAAAAAAAAAAGAAGCATGGGCTATTTTTTGGCAATAAGACCATAGGCGATTTTCTAGACTCTCTTTCCATTCATTAATCAAGGAGTCTGTGTGTTCCACATGATGGAGATTTAGCATGAAGCATTTATCAGCCTGGACTTTTAAGCTGTCAAATGGAAGAAAGTTGCCCTAAAAAGTCATCCAGACCCACATGGGTATTTGTGCATAGAAATAAACCTTTGTCATGTTAAGCTACTTAGATCTTTGTTTGCTGTAGAACACTGTAAGACTCACTTTTAGTAATACACTTCATTTTAGAAATGAAAAAACCAAGCCTCAGATAATTATTTTAAATTGCTACACATCACATTGCAGGTAAGAGGTAAACTGGTGTAGGAACCCAGATCTTGCTGAAAGTACATCAATACAAAAATAATCACCTGACCCACTGTAGGATGGGAGAGAAAAATCACATTTGATGTTTTTTGGTTACGGAGGCTGGCAGTGGGATCTACTTTGGGCAGTGGGATCAAACAAACACTTGTGAATAGAGATGGCATTCATATGCTGCAGCACAGACTAGCCTCTACCAGAGAAGCAGGGGAAATAGTTACCTATGTGCCTTTTTGCTTTGCCTGGAATGCTCTTCCCACGGTGCATTACTAACTAAATTCTGTTTTCATTGTCAAAGAACAAAATTTTAACAAAGCAAATTTCAAAGATCTAATTGCCTGTTATTAGCATTTTACAAATCAGGCAGCATCCCATCTACAAAATGTAAAGGTGCTTCAATGAGCTGAGCAGAGAGGTGGGCTTTATAGGCAAAAAAAGCCTGAAGAAAGGAAAAACACGGAACCAAAAGCAGACCGATCATTTTCAGTTACAGCCTGATTTTTTGCTGGTGAGGTTTGAGGACCCAGTAGTTGCTTTTAGTTTCACCAGCCAAAGATTTTCTAGTCTAAACTCGTATCTTTGCTATAATACATAACAATACCATAACCTAAATAACAATAAATGGCATAACCTAAACATTTTAGGAAGCTTCTGATCTATTTGTTTCCAGTCAGTTCCTTGTGCCTGAAATCCAATCCAAGCTTACTGCTTACTTTCTAGACAAAGTTCTTAATCTGTTTTTTTTTTTTTTTGCTTTCTTGCTTCATGCTCTCTTTCTTAATATCAGTTTACTTTGAGACCCTTGAAATATATATAGGAATGTACAGTTTTCTCTTATATCATTTCATTATCTTTTTAAGAAATAGATCTTGCTCTGTCACCCAGGCTGGAGTGCAGTGGACATGGCTCACCGCAGCCTTGACCTCCTGGGCTGGAGCAATTCTCCTGCCTCAGCACCCCCAAGTAGCTGGAACTACAGGCACACACCACCAAGTTGGGGCTAAGTTTTGTATTTTTTTGTAGAGATGGGCTTTTGCCATGTTGGCCAGGCTGATCTTTAACGCCTGACCTCAGGTAACCCACCTACCTAGGCCTTCCTTATATTATTTCTTAATTTCATCTCTGCTGCAAGGATCAGTCACGTTGTTCGACTGACTCATTTTATGAAGCCTTTGTCACTAAGTTTCTTTTTTAATTATTAGGTTGGTGCAAACGTAATTGCAGTTTTTGCCATTTAAAAGTAATGGCAAATTAAAATTAAAAGTGTAGGACTTTCTCCTTAGTTCAGCTAAAAGCCGGGTTCTTGTCACATGGCTATGAAAGATTAGGCTCACAGGCACTTTGAAGGGTGAGGAGGCAGGGTTTATTTGGTGAACAGGAAAAAACGGGAAAGAGGGACTCTCGGCAAAGCAAGAGTCCTGCTAGTAGGCTTCCTGCCTCACAGATTGAATGTCCCGCTTCCACCCCAGAACAGGAGAGGCCAGGCTCCTTCCCCCTGCAAACGACATGAACTTAGTGAGGCTCTACTCTAGTACGTACTCTCCCCAGTGCACAGGCTGGCACAGGTTCTCCAACGACCTATTTATACTCGGCTGTCTCAGAAGTAATATATCTTCTCAATGTTTGGGGTCTACAGGCAGTAGGCTTTTCCTACTTTTGAGGCTCCAAACTCCTGACATCTATTTCTTTTCATTCTGATTAAAAATCAGCCAGTTGTGTCCTGAGATTATCTCTTTCTTATAATAACTTTCCAATGACAAACAATTATAACCATTTCTTTTTGATCCTTTCAACCATCTTCCTTAGGATCACTGACTCAGCCTGCATGTCATGTTACTTCCATGTTTTATCAAATGTTTTGCTAAATGTTTGGCTTTGAAAGGCCATGTCCACTTGCCCTGCTTCCAGTATCAGTCTCTTTGACACCCCCCAAATTGCCAAGTCAGTGCCACATATTTTAGGTTTTTCATCCAATTGTACCCCAATTCTGACAACAATTTCTCCATTCATTAAGTAAATCTAGCTTCTATAATAGATAAACCTGAAATCTCAGTAATTTAATGGATGTTTATTTCTTTCTCTTTTTTTCATAACTTCCAAGTGATAGTGACATAGGGGGGCTCTAGTCCACAGTCATTCAGGATATCAAGATAAAAGAGTTTTTGCCATCTTGTTCATCACATTGCAATGGTCATGTATATCCAGCTGACAGATGGAAAGGAGGAGTGCATAAGGATTTACTGGAGAATTTTACAAGCCAGGCTTAAAAGTGGCATGCCTCATTTCTGACCGCTTTTGCCTGGGGCTAAGGTTGTTCTGAGTGGGTGCAGCAGAAGAACAGGCTCACAGGGGCAAGGGTTACAGTGACAGAGTGGTTACAGTAGTAGGGGTGTGCCTTGGTGGCAAAGGGACTGAAGTCAGGAGGGTGGGATGGATGGGGAAATGGCAGGGTTAAGGGACTGTTGGTCCTGATGATATCTAAGAGCAGGAGTAAAGTAATAAAATGATATCAATGGAAATATAGGAAGTTATGACCAGAGAGTAAGATATTGGAGTTTATGATTTCACAGGTGTTATAGACCAGATGATAGCAAAATTCAAGTTTTGGTCAGAGAAGTGGGTTGCTGAAGCTTGGCTCAGATGTCTTTGTTCTGATGTTTCCGTTCTTATGATTCCAGCTCCATAGTAGTATTACGGTGCAGAGGTTACGCCACTGAGTTCTAAAGTTAGAAGACCTCAGTTTGAATCTCAGCCCCATCACTTGCTAGCTGTTTCACCCTTGGCATACTAATCTCTCTCAACCTCACTATGCATCTGTAAAATGACAATAAGAATATTTTCTCCTTGATAGGGCTGTTCTGATAATTGGGGATAACATGTAGACAGTGCTGAAAACACTCTAGCCCATAGTAAAAGACATTTCATTTATACTTTATATCTGTCTCTGTCATTCCTGTCTAGTTGTTCTGTTCTCAACATTCCCGGCCTTCACCTCTACCCCTTTCCTACCTGAACCCTATGGAGCAAAACAATATGCACAAAGTTCTTTTCAAATGATATGCTATAACTTCAGTCTTCCCTCCAAATTCATCCCACCACCTTTAGATGGGAATTTCTTTTATACCACATTAAGTATCCAATTTCAGAGGTGGTTACTTAGTCTAAAGTGGTTCTATTTCACTAAATTTCTTTGAGAATAAGTACCTCCAGAAAGATTTTTTAATAGAAAGTTTTGTCTACTTTCATGATTCACCTTAGATGATCCACCTGCATTGCCATCACAGCTGGACAGGACCTCCATTTCTAATGGTGTCCTCATGCCTCTCTTCTCACCTGGCCAGATATCTGCAATAGACTCTACAGCCTTACTATTCAAAATGTGGTCCAGTAGGCGCAGTGGCTCACACCTGTAATCCCAGCATTTTGGGAGGCCAAGGCAGGTGGATCACCTGAGGTCAGGAGTTCGAGACCAGCCTTGCCAACATGATGAAACTCTGTCTCTGTTAAAAATACAAAATTAGCTGGGCATAGTGTTGTGCACTTGTAATCCCAGCCACTCAGGAGGCGGAAGCAGGAGAATCACTTGAACCCAGGAGGCAGAGATTGCAGTGAGCAGAGATCAGGCCACTGAACTCCAGCCTGGGCAACAGAGTGAGACTCCATCTCAAAAAAAAAAAAAATGTGGTCCACAGACTAGCAGATCAGCATCTTCTGGAATGTTTGAAATGCAGAATTGCAAGCCCCATCCAGATCTACTGCATCTGAGTCTGCATTTTAACAAGATACCGGGAGATTCTAATGAATGACAGAGATTGCAAAGCACTGGTTGACAGCAAAGAGACTAACATTTCATTTGTCTAAAGGAAGGGTTGCACCTTAAAATAAGGTGTCCTGCCAGATATTAGGCAGAGCCCACTAAAGACTCAACCTTCCTATCTAGAGATGTAGAACTTAAGGTCTATGCTTATCTAATGCCCTGAACTTGAGATTCAGAAATGAAGAATGATAGAATATGTGGTAGCTGGTTTCACAAAAGAATTGCTGGTTCCACACAACAAAATTTGGAGAGTGGTTTTAAGATCTTTTTCTTTGTAGGTTGCCTAAGGAAATTTGCTAATTTCCCTGATGTAAGCTTCCCACTACCCTAGAAGAGAAAAAGTATACAAAAAAAAAAAAAAATACAGAAAGGAAATGACATAGGATTTGTGTGTGTGTATATATATAAATTTCAAAGGTCTGTTCCATCTGAGATAAGTCTCATAAAATAAATCAGTGAGACTGGGAAAGCAGTAGTCCTTTATATGTAGACATAATGGGGCTAAGAAATAATTGGTCAGAAAGAAACAGGTAGTTGTCCCATGTGTTAAATCAAATTTAGCCTAAAGCTGCCTCCTTACATATTTTAAGTTCAGCCTAATGGTTTCTCTGCACATCGTGAACTATAACAAGTGGAGGTGTAAATAGACCATAGCTTAGACTTGTGCCAATCAAATGTAGCCAACTGTTCAAACTGCGTTCAAGTAAGGCAAAGGCTGAGCTGTAAGCTATCCAGCTGCTTCTGTACCTCACTTCCATTTTCTGTACATCACTTTCCTTTTTCTCTTCATGAATCTTCTTCCACCACATAGGTTCACTGGAGTCTCTGAGCCTACTGTGGCTCAAGAGGCTGCCCGATTTGTGAATTGTTCATTGCTCAATTAAACTCCTTTAAATTTAATTTGGCTGAAGTTTCTTTTATCACATGGAAACTGTCTTGAAACTATGTTAGTATAGCAAGCACAGCATTTGTAATTAGAGCATATGCTTATTTGATGTGGAAGTCGTGGATTGATGGAGACTATGGTGAAGGCTAAAGCTCACCCCTCATCACCAGGTTTGGAAAGCAAATTACGTACTTAAGTGGGGTCTTATTATCAAACACCTGTTACTCTACAGAGATGAAGTTTGATTTCAGATTGGAAGAGTCTAACCCCAAAAAGTTAAAAAAAATCACAGTTTACTGGGATTTCCCATTGTCATCTATAAATAATCTGGAACATTATTAGACCAGAAGCAAAAACCATAAGTAGCTTATAGGACGTCTTAATCTTTTTGACTGCTCCAAGTTTGTCTGAATTTCCCCTTATCTGTCTACACTGCTGATTAGAAAAACAAATTTCAATTTAAATCTCTGGCAAATGCAACTTTAAGCAGATGACCAAGGTTCCCATCACCATCAGTAACACACATCGACATCACGCACCATCTGATAAGATGCAGTGAGAAGGGCACAACATCACTTTTGTGGTATTCTCACCAAAAATGTATGAACTTCTTTCTATTTAAGGTTTTTATGAAAAAACATTGAGCAAACGCAAATGGGAAACATTCTACAAAATATTGGTGCTATTTGAAAGTATGAAGGTTATGAAAGACAGGGACTCACTGAGGAAATAGCTCAGATTGAAGGAGACAACTAAAAGCGATGTGGGATATTGGACTAGCTCTGATGATACAAAATGCACAGTAGTGAAGAATGTGAAATTTTACCATCTGTAGTGTGGTTACTAATAGTGTATAGATGTTGATTTCCTGGTTTTAATCATTGCACTACAGTTATGTTAACGTTGGAGAAAGCTGAGTGGAGAATACAGGAGTGCTTTCTGTACCATGTTTTTTAACTTTTCTGTAGGTCTAAAATTATTTCAAAATCAGAAGTGTTTTAAACAAAAACTTAAGAATCTTTTATGTTTGTTTTTGGTGGAAGCCTCAGAAACTGAGTCCCAGTCAACTGTATCAGTCTTGGGTTAAAAGCCTTGAAAAGGATAGAAAATTAGATTGAGATCCTGGGACCTGTGGCAAGGAGAATAGAGAAAGAAGCCCCAAGAACATACATATGAGATGAACGGATGGATGGATAGATAGATAGATAGATAGATAGATAGATAGATAGATAGATAGATGATAGACAATAGGAGATGGGTAGGTAGACAGATAGGAGAGAGAGAAAGAAGATACATAGATAGATTATAGATAAATAGGAAATATATAGATCGATGATAGATAGGAGATACATTAGGTAGCTAGCTAGCCAGCCAGCTAGATAGATAGACAGATAGATAGCTATTGCTATGGGCTGAATTGTGTCCCGCCCCTGCCCCCCCTCCGCCTGTTTCATATGTTGAAGCCCTAATCCCCAGTACCTTAGGATGTGACTGCGTTTGGAATAGGGCATCTAAAAAGATCACTAAGTTAAAACAAGGCTGTCAGGGTGAGCTCCCATTCAATTTGACTTATGTCATTATAAAAAGAGAAGATTTGGACACACAAAGAGATGACAGGGATACACGTGCACAGGGGAAAGGCCATGTGAGGACCTGACAAGAAGGCAGCCATCTGTAAGCCAAGGAGAGAGGTCTCAGGAGAAACCTAACTGGCACACACCTTGATCTTGAAATTCTAGCCTCCAGAACTGAGAAAATAAATTACTGTTGTTAAGCCATCTAGTCCATGGCATTTCATTATGACAGCATTAGAAAATTAATATAATCATATATTAACAAATCTATGTTTAAATTGGTCTCTTCAGCCTTCTCTAAACATGTCACATTTTTTTTTTTTTTTTGCCTTCATGGATGAACATGCTTATTTCCTAGATATGAGACTCTTGGTATACACTTTTGATATCCTTTAAGGCCTATCTTAAGTCTTTCAGTTATCTAAAGGATGGTGTATTCATTCAGGTGAATATTAGATATGTATGAGATAATACTTAGAATGCTTTCTTTAATTTGGGGTATTGTGTTTTGAAAAGAACTTTGACCAACAACTGTATGTCTAAAGAAAGCTAACCTGAATTAGGAGCAGTCTATGAATTTTATCCTATTGGGAATAAGTGTAGAATCTAAGTTTGTGAAAGTTAAAAAAGAGTCAGGAAGGATATGATAGATCCCTTTAAATGTTTGTAGGGCTGCCAATGGAAGAGATTAGGTTTATTTTTTAGAGAGCAAATTTCAACCAGTTGAATTTTAGTCAGAAGGAACATATTTTGTATCAACAAAAGAACATATTTTTCAATAATTGGCACCATCCAGTAATAGTCTGCATGAAATGGTCTCGCTTGAGAGGTAGTGAGTTCTCAGCCACCAAAGGCATACAATCATCTAGTGATGGCCAGCTGTCAAGAATTCTATAGATCAGCTTCCTTCACTGGGTGGAGGGTGAGATGGGTTGAACTTTTAGAGTTTTCCACCTCTCAAAGTCTTAAATAATTCTAATGGTAATCTGAAGAGTGAAAGCATTCAGGATTTTGGGGGAAATGCCCTGAAAGGAACTATCAAAGATATTAGCAAGGCCATGTCCTGTGGGATAAGAGATTATTCAAAAGTCATGCATTTGTCCTGCCCTACAGGGAGTTGGTTTAACTGGACTGAGCTAGGGTCCAGACATGGATATTTTTAAGTCTTCCCAGGTAATTCTAGAGTGCAGGGAGTGTTAAGATCTGTGATACAGTTGAAGTATTTAGCAACACTGTGTAATATCCTCTCCCGGCTCCTTGGAATTTCCAGCAATTCTCAAAATTCTGAGCTTTACATCAGACTTCCTGACGAAGTGGATGACATAAATTTTTGTGAAGAATGCTAACACCAAGCCACTAAAGAGTTATGGACCCATCACAGACTTTTCCACTGTCTACACTTGTCAGACAGCAATCATCATACCCCAAATTAATGCAAAATATGTGAAGGGGAACATTGCACTAAATATAAAAGTTTTCTCCAATTTCCACATTGCATGATTAATTGGAAGAAGGTGGGTAGCTATTCCAGATACTGCCTGATGTTTACTATACATCTGTTCTACTTCACAGGCAGCTGGTGCCTAGAAGGGGAGTCACCTTTGTCTGCAGGGAGTGTGGAAGGATCCTACAGGAGTTAATAAAGAATAAAAAACACATACATATTTTATCCTAAGTTTCAGCAGCTACTGCAATGCAGAAAAAGTTTTCCCCTCTTTGAGAAATTAGAATAATATAAAAATAAAAATAACAGCTCATATTTGTTGAGCACATACTCTATGCCTAACAGCATTTTAAATAAGTACATTATATTCATTGACCCATTTAATCATCCAAGCAATCCTATAAAGTAGGTGGTGTTCCCCTCTAGACACACACGGTTATATAGATAAGGGAACTGAGGCATAGAAAGGCAGAATAAATTTCAACATGTTCTAGAACTAACATGTGGCCATGATCTCAGCCATGAACAGGATATCATAGCTCAGAACCCATGCATGCTCTTACTGCTGGCCCCAGCCCGCCCCATGTAGCCATCTAATTTGGTGTCATCAAAAGACAGTGAAACACATTTGATGCTGTCTAGTCCAGCTCTCCATATTGTAGATACCCACAACATCTGACTGACAGATCTGTCAAACAGATGTTTGTGAAGACCTAGCCACCAATGCAGCAAAGCAGATCAGGTAACCTGTAGCATGTCTTTCTCTGTAATCTGAACATTGATGCTTTAGTCGGGTTCTAGATTATGCATCATCCATGTCACCGCTTTAACTTCATGCAGGTAGCTCATTTCTTGTATGTAAATGGATTAAATTTAGTTATCAATGGCAAAACAAAACAAAACAAAAAAACCTTATAATTGGGACAGACCATTCAGTCACCTCTGTGATTTGATTTTTTGTCTAATGCTGCTAAGGCCTTTTTACCTAAGTATTGCTATCCTGGTTCTACATTGCTGCAAACTTAACTTTTACTAGCTGCCAATCCCCACTGACTGCCTTCCTTTTATACCTCTTAACCCATCCTTAAAACCAAACAAAACTAGCCCTGGGAATGATATATTGTGATAAACACATTTGTTTGTATTGATGTACCAGATCATCTGATGGTAGTTGAACATTTCTCCACTGAGAGCTGATCCATGTTTATGTATAAAAAGATCTAATATTGTCCATCCTTCCCAAATTAATTTATGAAATGAATACAGTTCTGATCAAAAGTGTACTTTTTGTCTAGGTAAAATAATTCTAATGTTATTCTAGAAGAGCCAATAGAAATGAAGCTGAGTAATTTTTTTTATTTTTATTTATTTATTTATTTTTTTAGACGGAGTCTCACACTTTCGCCCAGGCTAGAGTGCAGTGGCACGATCTCTGCTCACTGCAAGCTCTGCCTCCCGGGTTCACACCCATTCTCCTGCTTCAGCCTCCTGAGTAGCTGGGACTACAGGTGCCCGCCACCACGCCTGGCTAATTTTTTGTATTTTTAGTAGAGACGGGGTTTCACTGTGTTAGCCAGGATGGTCTGGATCTCCCGACCTCGTGATCTGCCCACCTCGGCCTCCCAGAAGCTAAGTTATTTTTGAAGACGAGTAAAGGAGGTTTACACTATTTGATATCCAAATATATTATAAAATTTAATACGTAAGCAGTATGATAATGACATGGGAATAGAAAGATCAATGGAAGATTATTTTAGACTTCAATATCTTTGGATTTTCATTTGCAAGGGAATCTAACTCTTTGGAAATTTGAACATTGGTGAAAGTTTACAATCAAATTTGGGCCATCTCAATGTTGTTGGTATTTTATTATTGAAGCCTTTTATTTGTCTTACTATTGGAGCATCTTTTATGTCATATTTAATCTCATGGCAGAATCTCTGATACTGTATATTGGACAATGTAAGTAGACATAATTTAGGATGAGAAATAGAATAAGGAGTTTTCAACTCCAGTAGGAGAGCCTTGAAATTGATTTGATTAATGTGCTGTTTTGATCCATCTTAGAGTCTTCTGGAAGCAAACTCCCAACTCCCCTCAGAAAGGATACCCAAAAGAGCAGCAACCAGTGTTGGGGAAAGGAGCCTTAAGAAGGCAAACATAGAACTCTCTTGATAGATTGCAGTTCTCCCCTGGGGAGATAGCCACACCCATTACTCTTAATGATTAAACCTAATAGAGAAATAAGCCTGAGCAATGTGAGAGAGGAATGTCATTTTTCCATTCCTGGGATTCTTTATGGACAGATTGTCTGTAACCACTCTTGGCCTCTCATTCATTCAGCCAAGGGAGGAGGGAGTAACTTGGCTGATTAGCACATTTGGAAAGAATAAACCAAGCTTGCTAGACCCAGCACACTCCTTTTTTTTTCTTGAGTACTAAGTATGGAAGCCAGAGATTCCCTCTGAGTCTCCAGTCTGTAAGTCTTACCTGAGAAGGCAGCCCTGGAGAGAGAAACTGCCTGGGACTGAGCAGCTACATTAATTTAGGGGTTCAGTTCACAGAGTCTACTTGGCTCTCCCACTAAACTACATTTTCTAACTCCTCTATTAACAATAACAAACGTGATATTTTGACCCATCTGCCCTACTGATTTTTATTTCTCAATTTATTCAGAACCCAAGTAGGCCAGAGGATACTATATCCATATTGAGCCTTTTCAGACACTCCAACAATAATGTTTGGTAAACATTTTTTTTTTTGATCTTTCAAATTAGATACTCACTGGCTAGTCTACAGAATATTAGGAGTTTTTTTTTTATGCTAACAGATGCTGTTTGAAAAAGAACTACATGGTTAAATCGTAATTCTAGGTAAAGCAAGATAAAATAAGTATCTGTACAGCAGGACTTCTTGAAACCTTAAAATGGAACTATGCTCTGTGAATCTTAATAAGGAACTAGATTATCCAGCATTTCTCAAACATATGTATATCTGCCAGAACTTATTTTATTTTTCAGAATCCTGAAGCAGTAGTGTACCATGGAACACATTTAGGGAAATGCTGAATAATTCCATAAACATATTAGATCAGTTGGCAGTTTGCAAAGAAAAAACAAAATAGCTACCTATGCAGTATATAAAACTAAATTATAAATGAATTTTTAAAAGTAAAAAATGAAAATAGAAAATACTGGTGAATATAAAAATCTCAGAAGGGGGAATTTTTTTCAAACATTCTAGTAAAAAAGAACCATAACAGAATAACTGATTCAACTTACCTAACATTAACATTTTATATAAATAACAACAACAACAACAA